>NC_000001.11:223371761-223558935 GCF_000001405.40 Homo sapiens | reverse complement strand
CACATGAACATCATGTATTACATATCACACACATCACATACTGCACACACTATACACACTACACATACACACCACACATATATATCACACACACATTTATACCACACATGCAGCACACATACTACAAGCACATGCATACCACATATTACATACCACACACACCAAACACACCACACACCATATGTGCACACCACACACATCACACATCATACAGTACACACACAGTACACCATTCACACACACCATGTACATACCGCACACACTCCACACAATCACACAGCACACACTCATACCACATACACACTATATACATACCATTCACACATACCACATACATATGACACACACACACACCATAGCACACACAACATCTATGCACACCTGCAAGGGCTGTGGGCTTGCTGGCTTAGCCCCCAGAGGACATTTCTACAGGGATCACCCTTCTGGGGAATTCTCTCCCTACCTTACCCGTTACCACTTTTGTCCCTGGGAGTGATCCATCAGGGTGAACATTCTAGAATCCTTGAAGGGCCAATGGCACTGGGAAGCTCTTGTCTCTGATGAAAAACTCAGGGTGGGGTGGAGGTTGAGGAGGCAAGGGAGAGGAATCTTGGCTAAAGATTCTGTTTATGCAGTTTTTAGTAGGAAATGAGGTCTGGGGTGCGAGCCCAATCTCTCAGGAGGGTCGAAATCTTCCTAAAACAACCCAGCCATTAGCTGTACTTTTTACTTACTCATGTTTGGTTTATTTCTTTCTTTGCATTTCAGAGAAATTGGGGATGTGGTAGCTGGAAACCCATATGAGGTATGCAATCTTTTTGTATGCCAAACTCTGACACTGTTGCATAGCAGTCATTCCAGGTTTCTTCTTGATTTGTCAGAATCTTTATGTATTAAGGATGATAACTTCTTATTAGTTAGGGCCACAACATTTTCTAGTCCCTGTCTCTTCCTGATGAAGATGAGACAGAAGTAGCCCTGGAACCCAGGCTTTGTAATATATCCCTACCCCCTGGGGGAGGTCTTAGCCATCGTCTTCCATGTTTGATAAGCAGGACCCACAGATAGAGCACCCACTGTGCCTAAGCTGTCCTGTGCGAGATAGAGAAGTCCTTGAGAGAATAGATCCAGTGTCCTGCTCTTGGATTGACCTCCAGTCTTTTGGAGGACAAATGATGAAAGTATATGTGAAAGATGAAGAGAAGAACACACCAGAAAACCCATCTAAACTTGAGTATGTGTAGTCTGAGGGGTGCTGGGGGAGTGCCTAGTCTGGGAAGGCCCCATGGAGGAGGTGAGTTCTGAGCCGACTTTGGAGGAATAAATATGTAGGGTTTGAGGTGTGGGTTCACCACCTCACTCCCTTTATTCCTCACTGTGTCCTCAATGTACTGTCGTTGTTCTCAGATGGTGGGTGTGGCGGATGATGGGTATATTGGGTGCTGCTGCTCCCTGAGAGCCATGCTGTGTCTGTGGCCAGTGGGCACTGGCCTGGGTGGGGCAGGACCACCTTCATGGGGGCACAGGCCCAGCTTCTACCCCTCCGTCCAACACTGACGTGTCTCTGGCTGCAGATGCCACACAGAGTGCTCCCAGCTGCTGGGCGTGGCATCTTCGGCTGAATGGAGGTGGGGGCAGACACACACACACCCATATACACACCACATATACAAATCACATATTCTGTGATTTGACATGTGTCAAATTTACAAGCTCGTGTTTCTGCTGATGCATGAGATGGTGCCAAATAAGGATCCATCTTGCCTTGGGGGTTTGTGTTGTGAGTTTATCAGATAGAAAATGCATGCCCCATGTCTATTTTTTCTTATTCCAGTTAGTTTCTGAACTGGTGTGACTGCTTCCCTGTGCACTGTAGTTCAGCCAGTGGTCAATAGCGCCCCCTGCCTCGAGTTGGTGGCAATACCTGGCGCCAGAGGCCCTTTCTGTGCTTGTGACTCTTGGTGATCTGAGCTGGGCAGAATTTTCCCTCCTACCCCTCGCCTCAGTTGCTGATGCCAGCTCAGCCTTCTCACTGCCCCCAGGAGGACTTATCGCTCACGGTGGCATCTCTTACTGTGGGTCCCAGGCATATTAGAAAGGCTGCGGTTTGCCAGTGTAGAGTATGGAGCTGAGCCTGAATTCAGGTGCTAAGAATTATCTTCTCTCCTTTTTTGGATGGGAAGGGCAGGGTTCTGCTAAATCAACTTATACTGATCCTAAGCCCCTCTTGCACCAGATTGGCAGGAGTTCAATCCTAGTCACTACTGGGGCTTCCCATCTCCACGTCCCATGATATTGGGGTTTTCTAAAGCTCCCAAGCAACAGGAAGTCTCTTCTGGTCATGGGTCCACATTGGTTACCCCTGTGGTCAGCTCACAGGTTTCTTTATGACTGACAGCTCTTGGGCTTCTGTGCTCAGCATGGGGCCTAGAATCTTTGATGAACTGGGAGTCCTCAGGCCAATGGTCCAGCCTCCCCTTCTGAGGTACTAGGACATGGCTATGGAGCCATTCAAGGGTTCCCATATCCCCAAGATCCTGTAAACTTTCAACATCTTCTTGGTCTCAGGGAGACCCTGCTTTTTCTCTTTAGGGCACCACTGTGCTGTGACTGACACACACACACACACACACCCCAGAATACACAGATAATGTCCTCAGGGGACTCAGTACTTTACAGAAGACAGGAAGGACTATTGCCTTTAGGAACTTCTGTTTTATTCCCTGCAGAAATCTCCAAGTCACGGACAGTTGGACATTCAAAGAGCATAATCACCTGCTCTGAATGAGGGAAGGAAAAATTACAGGGTGAACAAACACACTCTTGGAATTTAGCCGTGTTCACTTTGAGCAGGGTTGTAAAGACATTCCCAACATGTGATATAATGAATAACAAGAAAATAATTCCTTGCGTTTGCCATGCTGCCATACCATTTGCAAAGCATTTTCATATAGATTGTATCAGGGAAATAGAAAATTCCACTATAGTACGTTCCTTGAGAACAAAAACTACGCCTTGTTCACCATTGCATTCACACGCAGGTTCTGAACAGTTCCCAACATGGGCCAGGTGTTCAGTAAATCTTTTTTTGAATGGACAAATTGTGAAGTACCACAGTTGCAACCACGTACACGTTTTCCTCATTCCCAATGTCCAAAAATTCCCTTGTGTCCAATGATAACTCCCAGTGACGGGATGCCTGCTATGTGCCTGTGTGTGTCCATATCCATATACTGTTTTGTTGTTAGTTTTTATATGCAATTTTATGTTTTTCCCCTATGCAATTTTATGTTTTTCCAGACATGGAGAATATTACTCCATGTCTGGAATTTATGGACATCCAAGATTTTGGCATACTGTATTACATGAATGATATAATGTTGTTTTCCCTATAAAACCACTTTAAAATCATATATGTGTGATGAGATATGATGTGTTTATCATTTTTTCTTCTAAAAATCTAGATGTATTTTTAGATTAGCATATCTTCTATGTAAACAGCATGGTAGGCGTTAATATCCTCATTCTGCAGGTGAGGAAACAGCCCCAGAGAGGCTGAGAGTAGTCGGATGCAGGGAGCATCTTCTCTGACGATCATTCCAGAGGGTGGTGGAGAAGTGCATGGGCTGGAGTTTAATCCTGGCTTCACTGTTTACTAGCTGTGTGATCTTGGCCTGTTACATAACATTTAAAATGAAGTAACATTTAAAATTCCAGTTTGTCCATTGGTGAAGTGAGGACAGTAATGAGAGGAACCTCACAGGACAGTGGTGAATATTAAATGAAATAATCCACGCAAAGTACCTGACAGGTAGTAAGTACTCAACAAAGACAAGTATTATTACTACAGTGGTTATCTTTATGAGTACAGCATCATCAAGCTATATTGGGCCTTTTGTACTCATCTTAGTGATAGTTTTGAAAGAAATTAACCCGGCTTTCTAGAAATTTCGTGTCATCTGGGAAGCTGTCACTTTTCCATTCTGTCTTGTGGTGACAACTGGGCATTGTCCTATTTTGGGCAGAGCCCATTGTCACATCAGAAAGTCTCTGGACAGAAGCATTCATATAATGGTTTGTAATTTCCAAAGGACTTTGACCCACATTAGCTCTCATTTGATTCCTAAAATGGCCCCATGAAAATGGTCTGGTTAAATCAATAACAGAGTGGAGGCCATGGATGTTCAGAGCCCTGAGATAGTGTCCAGTAAGGGTACAATCTGCTATTTGAACTCCAGTCTCCTGGCTTCTAGTTCTACTCTTTCTACTAGGCCATGTTCTCAACACTTTTGAAATCATGTTGCTCTTCGTGAATCTGATGAAAGCTAAGAAAATGTTTTTTTTTTCTGATATAAGGTCTCGCTTTATCACCCAGGCTGGAATACAGTGGCACAGTCTTGGCTCACTGTGGCCTCAGCCTCTGAAGTAGATGGGACTACAGGCGTGCACCACTACACCCAGCTAATTTTTGTATTTTTTGTAGAAATGGGGTTTCACCGTGTTGCCCAGGCTACTATCGAACTCCTGGGCTTACGTGACCTGCCCGCCTCAGCCTCCCAGAGTATTAGGATTTCAGGTGTGAGCCACTGCACCCAGCCAAAAATGCATTTAGATATGACCCCATGTTTTCACGCAATTTCTGGAGTTCAGACTCCCTGGAAAATTATCAGTGATTCCCTTAGGAGTCCACAGATTCACACCAAGATTTTCTGGTGTCAGTGTCATTTTCTGAAAGTTGTTCAGGTTGTAATCAGAAATTCAGGGTTGGTGGGGCTCACTTCCCCAAATCACTTAGAGAGAAAACTGCTAGGCCCCAGCGCTGCCTCTCTGCTCATCCCTGCTGGACTGTAAGCTCCCTGGGGCCAGGACCTTTGCTGTCTCTTGGTTTGCCACCATGTGCCCCCACTTAGCCCAAAGCCTGGCACATAGTAGGTGCATCATAGATACTAATGGATGAAGGAATGAATTTTAAATCTTCGTCTTTCATTCTCCTTGACGATTCCCATTTTAACTTTGCAAATGTCCTTCTTTTTAGCCACATCCCAGTGAGGTGGATCAGGAAGATGACCAGTTCAGGAGGCTGTTTGAGAAGTTGGCAGGGAAGGTGAGTGGAGGGCGAACATGGCTTCCCAGGTGGGCAGGAGAATATTCAGGAATGCTCAGGTCACTTCATTCTTTACTCCCTGAGGTCTCTAGGCATAAAAAGGGTGAGACTCAGGTCTCAGGGGCCCCCAGCTTCTGTGCCCATCACCATCCTGTCTTAAGATTGAGTACCTTTCCTTCATCACTTGGGAATTGGTCCTGAGGCTACTTATCTTGCTGCGTTGACTGACTCTTGAGAAAATAGAAAAGCCAGATCTCCAGGTCCTGCCAAAAGCCTTTCTGTTTGCAGATTGGCCCTGTCAGATTGGGGTCTCTGAATAAAAAGCTGGGATGGCAAAACCTCTCCAAATAGATATCCTTCAGAGTGAGGATTGCCCAGCCGCAGTGGAAGGCAGCTCAGCTAACCTGGCTTGGGATTAGTGTGCAGGACTAGCCCTGTTCCCTGTCACCGTCCTGCAGCCCTGCCCGCCCTCTGGGAGACCAGCAGCCTGAGGAATCCAAGCTTTGCCCGACATGAATGCAACTTGGGCACTTGGAGCAGAGAAAGAAGCGACCCCTGATCCTTCTCCCCTGCCCTGGCTTCCGTTCACTTTGGTAGCAGCCCGGTGGGGGCCACAAGTCAAAGCATAACCAGGACTTGAAATGTCAAAACCGGCCCCATAAATACAGCGAATGTGTTACTCTTTGGAGGATAATAAAGTGTGTGAAAAGGGCCCGGAAGAGGAAAAAACAATGGTCTCCCCCCACCACCCCGGGAAACTCAGGGTGACTTTCTAGACTTAAGGATAAAATAGAAGAAAAGATATCAGAATCCCTTGCAGGAAATAAAACCTGGGAACAGTTCCTTTGCATAGCCATTGAATAAAACCCTTGCAAAGATGAGCCAATTTATGTTTTAGATGGATTTACAGGCCAGTATTTTTGCTAACAAAACCTGTTTCCTTAGCTGCCAAGGGCCATATTTTATTAAGAACACCAAGAATGATGAAAGGAAAAGCTCATATTTGCATAGTTCTTCATGCACTTTATCTTACCTTTCTCTCTGGCTGCATGGGGCAGTATTGGTCACTCTCCTTGCTCGGCTTGTAAAGTGGCCTGCACAGAGAGGTTAAGGAGCTGGCTGAGGGTACAAGGCCTCATGAACGACGGGGTCAAGGTCCAAATGTAGACTCTTGACATCCCATTTCTTTCCTGGCAGGCTAATGGGGGTAGTCTTCTAGCCCCAGAGGCTTTTTAAAGGGGCCTCAAGTCTTTTTTTTTTTTTTTTTTTTTTGAGATGGACTGTTGCTCTGTGACCCAGGCTGGAGTGCAGTGGTGCACGGCTCACTGCAACCTCTGCTTCCCGGGTTCAAGCGATTCTCGTGCCTCAGCCTCCCGAGTAGCTGGGACTGCAGATGCCAGCCACAACGCCTGGATAATTTTTGCATTTTTAGTAGAGACAGGGTTTCGCCATATTGGCCAGGCTGGTCTCGAACTCCTGACCTTAGGTGATCCACCCACCTCGGCCTCCCAAAGTGCTGGGATTACAGGTGTGAGCCACCGTGCCTGGCCCAGGTCCTCAGGTCTTATTATTGGGACTGACCACTCTGTGCTGGGGTGAGGCCAGTTGTCCTCAGAGGAGACACTGCTTTGTGCAGCTCTTGCCTCTCTCATTTCCAGTAGAATTGCCAGGGCCTGGCTAGCGGAGGATGGGAAGATGGAAAGTGACTCGGCTAAAGTCACATGATGAATAAGGGGCTGAGTTGAGACTGGGACCCAGACATCAGCCCAGCACGCCTTCTCTGCATTTCCTTGGTCATCCTGCCTGAGATCTGCTCTCCATCTGAGAGTTAAGGGATGACTCTTCCCTCTGGCTCAGTGTTTATCCCAGATGCACACAGAATATGCTATTCTCTCAATCTCTGCCCCCAGTTTGAGATGGGCTCCTATGTGAAATACCAACTCCTGTAGGTGTGGTGGGGAAAGCCGGCACTTTGGGGTGAACCAACCTTAGGTTTCCAAGTCTAGCTCTGCCTCTTGGTAGCTACAAACCACAAGCAATTACGTCACATGAAAATGACAAATGATGTTGCATGTATACAGTGTTCAGCAGTTTACAAAATCACGACTTCCTTAACTTGAAAATGGCTGTGGAATTGTGCTGAGGATTTAAGGATCTTCCACACTGGCTCTGGCACATCTGGTTCAATCCTATCACTGCTGTTCCTGTTACTTTATCCCTGTTCAAGCGAGCCCTGTGAAAGGCAGCAGGACCCTGGCATGGCAGCCTTCTGCCACGGTGTGTACCACACTCATGGCACTAACACACCTCTGGCCAGGCTGCTGGGATCCCCAAAAGAAGAGGATAATTTGAGTTTTTAAAGATGCCACCTGCTTTTAAAATCACAGGGCCAGCCGGGCACGGTGGCTCATGCCTGTAATCCTAGCACTCTGGGAGGCTGAGGTGGGCAGATCACGATGTCAGGAGTTCAAGATCATCCTGGCCAACATGGTGAAACCCCGTCTCTACTAAAAATACAAAAATTAGCCAGGCGTGGTGGCACGCATCTGTAGTCCCAGCTACTTAGGAGGCTGAGGCAGGAGAATTGCTTGAGCCTGGGAAATGGAGGTTGCAGTGAGCAGAGATTGCGGCACTACACTCCAGCTTGAGTGACAGAGTAAGACTGTCTCAAAAAAAAACAAAAAACAAAAACAAATAAACCTCACAGGGCCAGTGGGCCTGGTGTCTGACTGTGAGGAAGCACTGCATTAATTTACTGTCTTGAAACAACTTGTCAGGGCCTGACATGATTTGCATTTGGGTTCCTCTTTCTAGGATTCTGAGATTACTGCCAATGCACTCAAGATACTTTTGAATGAGGCGTTTTCCAAGAGTAAGTTCCTTCTTGGGGTCTTTCAGAAAGTCCGTAGGAGATGCTGGGGCAGGGTGAGGGATGGGTAGGCAGGCATTGGGCTGGCAGCACCACAGGTGGGAGAAAGGGCATTGGTGTCTGACCCCAGGAGCCCTGATTCAGTCCAGCAAGACAAGAGGGGAAGAAGGAGAGGCAGAAGACGGGGAGGCGAGGGTGGAGGTGAAGGCGGGGCTGGTGCTGGCAAGCAGCCAGCACCTGAAGGAACAAAGCTCCATAGTGTCAAGTGAAATTGCAGGCTGAGTCCCAGGAGAAAAAGAGCTGGGCTGGGATTGACTTAAGTGAATTTTTTTCACAAAATTAATAACTTGGATACTGTGGAAACCTCTGCAGATGAAAGATCTAGTTCTGTAGCTCATCTTGAGGGAAGGAGGAAGGAAGGGATGATTCTGACTCTCCTAGACTGTCCTCAGTTCCCCATCTTCAGATTTTTGCAAGCCTCAGAGCTGTCAGGAGGAAAGATTTGCATCTCCCCTCTGAGCCCCAGCCCACAGGAGGACACAGGGAGCTGGTTTCTTTCCGGGTCCAGGGATGGGCCAGGTTAAGTCTTCCAGTGAGTGATGGGCTCTCATTCACTCACTGCAGCAGGACAGGGCTTGAGAATGCAGGAAGCAGGGGCTTGGCCCAGGAGCCAAGTCATACCCTTCCCAGGGACGAACCCAGGGCTGAGCAGATGGATCCCCAGGGCTCGGAGCACAGGCCCGTCTCCTCTCCACACCACTCTTGCTCCTGCAGTTGTTGAAGAGTGGAGAGAAAGAGAAGGGGTTGCAGGGTCTTTGGCACCTGTCTTGGCTCCCAGGTATATGGAAGGTGAGGGTGGAGGCCAGGGATGGAGCTCCAGTGACATGCCTGCAATTTAGTAAGGAAGGATAGCTGCTGTCATTGAGTGGCTGTGTGTTGTGATTACAAGCTCAGGCTGTGGAGCTGGCTGGCCTGCATTTAACTCCTAGCTTTGCCCCCTACTGGTTGTGACCTTGAGCAAATCATATAACCTCTCTGGGACTCAGATTCCTGATCTATAAAGTGGGTATAATGATAGCATCTACCACACGGAGTGATTTTGAAGAGTAGATGTGCAGTGCTTATAACAATACCTAGCCATATAAAGTTAGCTGTTTTATTAAGAACTTATCATATATCAAGCCTGGGCTAAAACTTCACTTTCATTATCTCAGTTAATACCCAGCCAGTCTTTGGGGCAAGTATGGTCATTGTTACTATCATGATTATTCCCATTTGATGGAGGAGGAAATTAAAGCTCAAAGATATTAATTTGCTGAAGTCTGTGGCTTGTGGGGAGCCAAGCCAAGGTTCAGATGCTGTACTTGGATGCTGGTGCTTGTCTGTTCTATCTCCCACGGCACCAGGAGGCTCAGGCGTATCTGCCCACAAGCCTGCCATGATGCTCTCCCCTTTTGGCAGAGACCAAGTTCGGTTCCACACCCTTGGATGGTATCTTTGGAGGTCTTCTACCGTGGAGGTTCTTTCCCTCACCTTCAAATGATCCGATTCCCACTCCCCTTTTCTATTTAAATCTTTAGGAACAGACATAAAATTCGATGGATTCAACATCAACACTTGCAGGGAAATGATCAGTCTGTTGGATGTATCCTTTAAATGTTGCATTATTTTTTTTTTTTTACTTTCGTCCGGTTTTTAAAGACTCCTCCACCTTTTCCAGTTAGAAGGAAGGGACGGGTAAAAAATGAGAAGGGGAGAGAGCAGGCATGGAGCATATGTCAAGGATTGTACTTGAAGCCTCAAAGGAAAATGTATCATATCATGGATGTGTCTCAGAAAGCTTGAGATTATCTCCGTTTCACAGGTGAAGAAACCGAGGTGTGCAGTGTTTAGGTGACTTATTTAAAATCATGTAATCTGGAGGTAGCAAGCATGGGGCATTTGCGCACCTGCTCCCTCCACACTCTGTTCATCTCTTCATCTTCCTCCTCCCCTTCAATTCTACCCGTCCCCACCCCCACCCTCTACCGTTCCCTGCTTCCCAAGCTCTCCCCATCACTATCTGATCTTTGCTTCAGAATCTTAACATGGCTTGTGGACAGCTACTACTGATAGTTTAGAGTTATCACACAAGATAAAATCTATTTGTTCTCCCTGATCTAGTTTAACCCTCACTTGATATTGAAGTATGGTGTGTTAGGCTGTTCTGGCTGCTGTAACAGGAGACCATAAACTGGGTGGCTTATAAACAACAGAAATTTATTTCTTACTCTTCTGGAGGCTGAGAAGGCCAAGATCAAGGTGCTGGTAGATTTTGTGGTGGATAAGGGCCAGTTTCCTAGTTCATAGATGGCATCTTCTTGCTATAACTTCACATGGTAGATGGGGTGAGGGAGTTTCCTGGGGTTCCTTTTATAAGGGCACTAATTTCATTTCTGAGGGTTCCACCCTCATGACCTAATTACCTCCCAAAGGCCCATCTCCTAATATCCTCACATGAGGATTGGGTTTCAGCATACAAATTTTGGAGGACAAAAACACTCAGTCTATAGCAAATGGGCAGTAGTTTTTGGGAGGAATGGAGAAGGTCAGGGCATTCTAGGTGGAAGGAACCTTCTAGGTGTGAAGGCACAGAGGGTGAGTGGTGTAACATCACTTCCTTAGAGCTTTGCCCACAGTGGGTCCAGGTTGCCATTTATCACAGTGCTGATGGTGAAGGTGATTTCTTTAAAAATTGGAGCCTTGGAGGGTTTTTCTCAGTTCCTTGGGGCCTCATCCATGATGAGCTCTGTCTGTTCATCCATGATGATCTTTACTGTGGGTTCTTTCATTAACTGCGGGACGGGAGGAAGGATTTTCCTTTGCATGGTTGTCATGCAGAGTGGTCCTGGATGACAGAGCATGTGTGCCCACCTCTGCGTGGCTGATCCACCATGGAGGGCTGGTGCTATCTTTTGGCCTCTGAGCTTCAGTCGGCCACTCCCTGCATGAGGCTGGGGCTCTTTAGCCCTCGTGTCTTTTCTCCATGCTTGACAATTTAATTTGTGGACTGCAAGGAACTGTTAAGTATTGATTCACTTTACTGCAAATAGTTCCCTGGTTTCTGAATCATTCTCATCAAACCCCATCTGTTGACTTCAGTTTAGATTTGAGAGTTGCCTTGTAATCTACCCACTCTTTATTCCCAATGGTATTTGTGTCTCTCACGGTTCAAAGAGGAGTGTGACTCTCTGCCACTCTTCAGGAGTTTCTGTTCCACAGTTTAGGTAGTGTGGGGCAGTGGTTCTGAATCAGCAGAAATACCCATGGAATCCTTAAAAAAATAACAACTCTATTGAGATATCATTTACACACCATACAGCGTACTCATTTAAAGTATATCAGGCAATGGCTTTTGTGTATTCAGAGTTAAGCAACCATCATCACATAATTTAGAACATTGTCATCACCCTAAAAAGAAACCCTGTACTCCTATTACCAGTCGCTCTCCATTTCCCCCAACCTCCACGACCATCCCTAGGCAACCACTAATTTACTTTCTGTCTCTACAAATTTGTCTATTGTGGACATTTCATATAATGAAATTATACAATATGTGGTCCTTTGTAATTGACTTTTTTTACTGAACATGATGTTTCAATTACTATAGCATGTATCAGTACTTTATCACCCATGGGGTGTTAAAAATACAGTTTAAAAATACAGTCTTTCACATGTCCTACAAAGTGCTAGAAAAAAAATTTTAAAAATTGACGGGGCGCAGGGGCTGATGCCTGTCATCCCAGCACTTTGGGTGGCACTGGTGGGCAGATCACTTAAGGCCAGGAGTTCGAGACCAGTCTGGAACACAGTGAAATCCTGTCTCTACTAAAAATACAAAAATTAGCCAGGCGTGATGGCACATGTCTGTAATCCCAGCTACTGGGGAGGCTGAAGCACGAGAATCGCTTGAGCCTGGGAGATAGAGGTTGCGGTGAGTGAAGATCACACTGCTACACTCCAGCCTGGGTGAGAGAGTGAGACTCTGTCTCAAACAACAACAACAACAACAACAACAACAACAACAACAACAACAACCACAAAACAAACAAAAACCCCTGATTCCTGGAGATCCTGATTCCATAGGTGTGGTCTCTGCAAGCAATTTTATCTGGAATTGAAGACCACTGGTGTTCTGGGACAAAGGTTTTGAAACAGACAGGGGTCCAAATTCTGGCTCTACCACTTATTGAGGTGTATAAATTTGAGGAAGTTACTAAATGCTCTGAACTTCAGTTTCTCCTGGAAAATGGGATAATTATGTCTAGCTTGTGTGGCTATTGTTAGGATGAAATGAGATACAAGTATGTAGAGTACCTAGCCCCGAGTGTTAGCTTCCTTTGCATACTACTGTTCTGAGATGTGTTGGTTGAATTATTAGTAAGGATTTGAAGGCTATGATGCATTCAACACTCAGTGCGGATTATAGATCCAAGAACACAGACTTTCTTAAAGTATGAGGCTTACAGGACTTTTTGTTTGGCTAATTAAAGTGATAGTCTGTTTTAGAATTCTAATTATTTATTCAGAGATGGGGTCTTATTATGTTGCCCAGGCTGGAGTGCAGTGGCTATTCACAGGCATAATCTGAGCTCACTGCAGCCTCAAACTCCTGGGCTCAAGCAATCCCCCTGCCTCAGCCTCCTGAGTAGCTGGGGCTGTTTCAAAATTTTAACATTGGTGCTGTAACATACGCACTGTTTATTGATTAGTTGTGACTGGTGAGAAAATTGTAGAGTCTCTAAAAAACTTAACTTTAGGAGCATAAGTGCATTCAAAACTAAATCCCTATTGACTAGCACAGCGTTAAAAAAAAATAGTCGTGGCACTTTGGGAGGCTGAGGCAGGCAGATCATTTGAGGTCAGGAGTTCAAGACCAGACTGGCCAACATGGTGAAACCATCTCTACTAAAAAAAAAAAAAAAAAAAAAAAATTAGTGGAGTATGGTGGCGGGTGCCTGTAATCCCTGCTACTTGGGAGACTGACATGGAGAATTGCTTGAACCCTGGAGGCAGTGGTTGTAGTGAGCTGAGATCACACCACTGTACTCCAGCCTGGGCGACAGAGAGACTCCGTCTCAAAAAAAAAAAAAAAAAAAAAAGTTGTGGAGTGAATGTAAGTTGGACACAGAAAATCCCTCATAATATCCTCCTGTTTGGTTGTATAGTGGCCTATGAGCAGATTCTGTGGCTTAGACTCCCAGTCCCATGGTTCCTGGCTCCTGATGTCTTTTCCCATAACATTTTGACATTCCAACAAACTCTAATTAGCTGAATGATCAATCACAGAAATGTAAATGTAGAAGCGAATTTACAGATCATACAGCTCCACCCTGTAAATAAACCAGGATGATTAGGGTATTCACGATATTGCAGATTGGCCAGCTCATGACTTGCCCTTTGTTCCTAGCTCTGTGCCTGGCCTCAGAGGAGAGCCTTGGTGCACGTTTGACTTTTTAATCTTTATTTGAACCTGTTACACACCGTCACCCCCACTGCTCTGCTTGCCACAGACATGGAAGGTTCACTAAGGCCTTAAGGCACTCATGCAAGCTCACAAGAGAAAGAAATCTATAAGGCATGTAGAATTTGGACTCAATCATGTTGGTCTTTAATGTGCCTAGAGCAATGGAACGGGCACTTTGGGGGCGGTGGAATTCAAGACGCTCTGGCTGAAGATTCAGAAGTATCTGGTAACTCTCTTTTCCTTCTGGGCATCCTCTCCTCTGTTCTAATCCTCCCTTACACTCATTCCTGGTCCATTGTATTCTGACCACATCCTTAATCATGGTCAAAACTATTGAGTCCTGGGCACATTGGTCATGAAGGAACAAGAAGGCAATGAGAGACTCTCATGCCAACCACTGCCCTGAAAGCCCTGCTGTTCAGACAGCAAAGGGGCCAGCACTGGCCAAGCTCTTATGCTTGCTCTGAAACCTTCTTGGGAGGAGTCAATAGGGTCTCCTTTTGAAAGTGTCCCTGGCCTTTTGAGAAAGCAGTGTGGTGGAGGGAGATGGTTCTGGCAGGGGCCGTGAATGGTTGTTTTCTACTTGGGATTTCTTTCCTGCTTTAGGAGATCTATTGGGAAACTGATTATAACCACTCGGGCACCATCGATGCCCACGAGATGAGGACAGCCCTCAGGAAGGCAGGTGAGGACACATCCTGTAGACAGGGTCTTGGGATCCAGGTGTGCACATTGTAAATATTTATTCTCATGATGATGATTGCTAATGATCATCATTTGTAGCTTTCTTATATGGGATATCAAGGCAACAACAGAGCTTTGTTGAGTACCTTCCCTGTCCAGGAAGGGGAGAATATTGCTCGATTCCATATAGCATAATATTTTAGAATTTTTCCAAGATCTCTGCCTGTTACTGGGAAGGTGACAGCAATTACAGAGGAAGGGGCTATGAAGGAGACAGACAGGAACTGGCCAGACAGGCAGCCCCCTCACCTTCTCTGCTTTTGCTTGCTGATGTGACCCATGGCTGAGTTGGTGCTGGTACTAGCGCTGGACCTGGAATTAGGCTGATCTTGGTGAGGAGTAGCTACAAGGAGAGGGATGGATGGCAGGACACCTTCTGGGATCCCCTGGAGAAGGCAGAGTCAGGCCTGGTTTGCAGATTGATACAGAACCACAGAGGGGCCCCTGGGATGTCAGCTCCTTGAGTGTTTATGGGAGACAGTGCTGAGTCCTCCACTCTACCTGTGACCCAGGCTCCCTCTGCCCTCAGGTTTCACCCTCAACAGCCAGGTGCAGCAGACCATTGCCCTGCGGTATGCGTGCAGCAAGCTTGGCATCAACTTTGACAGCTTCGTGGCTTGTATGATCCGCCTGGAGACCCTCTTCAGTGAGTCACTCTGTCCTCCAGCCCCATCCTATTAATCCCAAGGTGCAAGGTGGGGCAGGGGCAGGGCCAAGGGGCAGAACCAGACATTGCCTTTAGGAGGCCAGGGACCCAGAAAATGATAGACAGGGCTTCTGGAATGCTGGCACCTTGGGGGCGAGGGGCAGCTGGACCTGAAGGGGCTGAGGAAGTCCAGGCTGGCCAGATCCAGGACGGAGGATGCCTTTTTTGGAGACTTAACAAAGCTGCCATCCAGACTATTGCGCATCTACAGTGTGCAGTCACTAGGCCAAGATGAATGAGTCACAGTAACTGTTCTTAGATGGTGTTTAGTGTCTATTTATATTTGTTTTTCAATAGGGATCATATTGAGAACATGTGCCACCTTCCAATGAAGGGATGGGGGGTGCCCTCTGAAGGCAATAGGCGTTTTTCTGCCATCTTGGGCCTTGAGATTAGATATCTTATTAGGAAGGGATTTTTCCTTCCACTGAGGTTTGGTAGGTGTTACGTTCTAGTGGGTCAAGGTCAGTTAGCCAGAGACAAAGCTAAGGGACTGGATTACCCACAAGCAAGACAACCACAATCTGTTTGACCTTGATAAAGTAATTGCACGTTTCTGATATAAAGCTTCTGAGGATGGAGATACCAAAGGGACCATCTCTGCTGGCAACGGGGTTTGTCTGTTTCGGCAGGGGGGCATCTGATCCCCCAAAAGCTCATTGTGTGCCCTGGATCTAGCTTTTTGAGGCCCCTGGGCCTAGGTGGGGGCTGGAGGGGAGGGGGTGGTAGGGGAAAGGAGAGTTCCGCAGGTGGGGATGGGGTAGACAGAGGCAGCTCTCTGATTGTTCCAAAGTCCAGGAACAGCCTTATCTAATTTCATTTCCTTCTCTGGTGTTTTAGAACTATTCAGCCTTCTGGACGAAGACAAGGATGGCATGGTTCAGCTCTCTCTGGCCGAGGTGAATGTCCTGAGGTTTGATGAATTGCTGGCTGATGGTACTCTGAAATTCTTGGACCATGTAGCTGCCAAGTGATGCTTATTCCTGTTGGCTGTCTTAGTTCCATGTGAATACCATGCATGTTCTGTGGCAGGCACCCAGCAGGGAGGAAGGCAACTGTTATACAGTTTTCCAAACATTTTTGTTTATTATTATTATGATCGTAAAGATAAAGCTACAGCTACATTTCAGATAATTTCGGAGATGCAAGCCCTTGTTAATTTGGATGGAGTTGTGGGTAGTGGGCACAATATAAAGTGTCTGGCTTCTAGGACCAGCTGTCTTATATGGACCTATGGAAGGATGTAGGAAACAAAAATGAAATTGCAGTGGGTAGAATGAAGATGCAAAATGAACAAGTGTTTTTACTGTGTACAAGTCACATAATGTTTTTGCAGAAAAAATCAGAGTACTTCCCCCGTGGACACTGCACCCCTGTACGACAGAGGCCTTTACTGGCCAGAGGGGACAGCAGGAAGTGTGGAGATGTCTCCAAGGGTCCAGGCAGGGGGAGGCATTGGCCTTTGACTTGATTCTGAGGCGGTGGAACTAGAGGGCCAGGTTATTACTGGCTGTGCCCCATTGTCTGTGCTTACCCACTTTCTTTTCTTCTCTAAAGTGGGAATGCTATTGACCTCTTTCCTGTAGCCCAGGAAAGGCCTTCCTAGAAATAGACCTGTGGATTCCCACAGATACCTGGACAATAGTGTGGAACCTAAAATGGAGTGTGGTTGTGTGGGTGCATAAAATATACATATATACACACACAAATATGCACATATAGGAATATATATATATACACATATAGAAACAAATACATATATAGGAAAAGATATGTACACATATATAGGAATCTATAGGGATATATATATACACACACATATATAGTGTATATATATGTGTGTATATAATAGTATACACTATTGTGTATATATGTATGTGTGTGTGTGTGTATGAATATACATGCACATACCTATTTTTGGAGCTCCCTTTGGGTCTAGAGCTTTTTCTGAGTCACATTTCTGTAGTACCCTGGTTCAGGAGTTAGTGATATAGTGAAAGCCTTCCTTGCTTCCCATGTTTGAGCAAGGCACTTACTGGAGAATGGAGATAAAAAGATCGCACCCATGTGAGGCAGGAGAGCATCAATGGTGAAAGCACACCAGCCCCTGAGAAGCCAAGACTCAATCTTGTCCCTTTCCTTTGCAGTGGCTGTGCTGCGTGTTGGTCTGACCCGGGGTTTCGGACATCAGTGACACTCCCTGCCCCACTGCTTGCTTCTTGTCACCCCTTCTCTACAATTTTGTGAACATTTATGCTCCAGTGGCATTCACTGGTTGTTCATACCTTTCTTGCCCTGGGTCTATTTCAGCAGCACTGAGCTATGAGCTATGTAAGCCGACCCGGTGGGCCCAGTGGAGGGAAAGCAATCAATTAAAGTTGTGAGCCAGAATGGTTTCCACCTTTCTCTCGTGATATGCTATCTGGGCTGTATCCTGGGCTTTTTATGCTTTGGGAAAGAAGATGTTCTCGGGAAATGGCACAACTCAAAACTGCTGAAAGATACAAAGTGTAGGTTAATTTCTCAGAGGAGAAGTCTTCTGTGGACCGAGATGCATCCGGAGGCCACCTTCAGGAAAGGAGCCCAGGAAGGGGGCAGGGATGGGATGCTGGGAGAACAGGGCTTTCTTCCTTATTTGCAGACATGGGAGACTGCTGGACTGTACTGAGGAGAATTCTTACCTGGCAAATAGCTAGAGGGGAAAGGCAGTTCAGGTTAGTTTTGCTCACAGCTGAATGCTGGCATCTCTGTTGTTAGTAAGAAAATAGATGGCACAGCCATGGTGTCCCTAAGGGAGGAATGGGGACAGGGCTGGTTGTTCAAAGCAAACTCTATGTCTGCATAGCTGGTTGTTCTATGCAGACATGAAATATCAAGGAGAACACACACACACACACACACACACACACATGCTTTGGCCCTGGATCAGTCTGATTGATTATGGATTAATTTTCTCTTTCCGGAAGTAGATCTAGATGAATGTTCCTTATAGGAATATGACTCTTAAGTACGGCAAGCACCAGTTGGCTTCAATGCTGCCTTTCAGTCTCCCAAGACCCAGTCGGGAGGAAGGGGCAGGCCCTTAACTGAAGACAGGACGTAAAAGCTCTGGGCTCTCACTGCTCAGGGAGGGGCTCTGCCATCGCACCACTGCAGGGAGGGCTCTGTTAATCTGATGGGAGAGAAAGAGGTATAGTTGTTTTAGCAGCCTGCGGGTCCCAGAAGAAAAGGGGTCCTTCCTCGTCCAGTCAGGGATAAGAGGGAGAAGCTTTGTCAGCAGGACTCAGCAGGTGTGTGCACGGCCACACTCCGGCTGCCTGGAGAGGCCATGCAGCCTGCTCCTGTGCCCAGCTGGTGTGATTCTCATGCTCATTGACATGCCGACCAGGTACAAGTCTTCACTCTATTCACTGTAGAGGACCAAAACCAATTCTCCCTAAATAGAAAGTGCTATGTTATAATCAACTTGAAACAGGTAGTTTCATTTTGAAGCCCCGCAGGGTTCAACTACTTGAGGGAATAGTCTGGTAATAAATAAAATACTATCTCATTACAAAACATCCTTTGCTTTCAGGGTCCTGGGTCCGAGGTAAGGACTGTTCTGAGGACTCCTTACCAATACAGCCCAAGAAGCAGGTTAAAGATCCTAGCACTACATTTTCCCTCTCAAACACCTGAGAGTGTGCCCTTTGCTTCCTTCTCCCCCAAGATGAAGGCAGTGGGAGATGATGCTTTTAGTCATGGCCTTGTCCTTCCCCCTAGATGTGGCTGCATCTCAGGAGAGCTCAGTGTCTCCTGGAATCCACTGCTCCCACAGCGCCCTGCACTTCCCCTCTGGGAGCCGGCACCACACTTTATTGCATTAACATGTTGACTTGCTTGTCTTCCCCGCTCCAGATGGATAGTCTGTGGATGCAGAGATGGAGTTTTCTTTGTTCCCTCAAAGCCTAGAACAATGCCTGGTGCAAAGTAGATGCTTAATGAATGTGAACTCTGTCTTTCCCTTTGCAGAAGAGGAGGCTCTGTAGACTGTAGAGCAGGCGCCTCTCTGTGCTTTCCCAGCAGAGAGGATGTGTTTGCACTGGTCCCTCACAGATGACACAGTAGCCCCTGGCAGCAGAAGCCCCAGTGGGGACTGCCATTGAGGTGCAGATTCATCAAAGCTGGGTCTCTGTTGGCAGGGAGGTGCTGGGGGTTGAAAGGCTGTGGAGCTCTAGGAGGAGATGTGGCCCCTGCAGGGTCTCCTGCTGAGCCGGTCCCTCCCCAGTCTTCTCCCCACCCTGACAACGCCAGGAGCAGAGAAAGCCGTGGTGCCTCCCATGTCATGGGGTCTTTGATTTGTGCAGAGAACCCCATGGATCTCTGATTCCCCCAGTGGGAGTAGGGGTGTGGTGAAGTCAGCCTGGAGTCACGGGGGTCTTCCTCTTCCTCTGTTGCCCTCCCACCCTCCCTAGCCTTCAGAATCAATTCGTGTCACCTCTTAAAGGCACAGTTTGTTTCCTTACTAGTAAATAGGAAGAAACACAAGACACCATGCAAGTCCCAGACTCATCTGAGACCTTCTGGAACACGGAAGCTGACATTTTGGTGAGAGGTGTTTGGGGCGTCCTAAATATTCTAGGTAATTCCACCACAACAAGACCATCTTCAGTGAGCTCCAGTTTCCTGCCGAGAGTCATGGATTAGCTTTCTCCTCACATCCACCTGCCCAGGCAGGGCTTTTTGTAATTATGCACAATCACAGAAGCAGCTTGGAGCAGGGCTGGGAGAGCCAGGCAGACAGCCCATCCGCAGGCAACAGGAGGCTCTTCCTGGCCAAGGTCCTGGCAACAGCCGTGTCTCAGCAGCCCGGCTCTGCGGGGTTATGCACAAGGGCCCATCACAACTGGCAGACAGGCTCCCGGCCCACCTGGGTGGTCTCTGTCTGGCTCATTGGCTGGCTTCTCTCTCATACCAGCTGTTATTCTGAGTTGGGGCAGGCTCAGCCTGCCAGCTTCTTCGATGTCCAGCATCTCTGCAGCCTTGGGTGTTCTCATTCCCTCTGAGCCCCAACCCCTGTCATTGCTTCTAGCTCTGGCTCTGGGATGTGGCAGTTCCACCATAAGCTAGGCTACCTCTTCTCTGCTCTCCTCTCAGTCTCCCAACCATGTCTTCCATCCATATGTTAACCCTTTCCTTCAATTTATGTATGAGGTTGGCTGACCTTGAGAGTTGACATCATTGATGGTAAATAACCAAGATGCCCACTGACCTCTCCACTTCAGAAAAGATAGCATCAGAAAGAATCCACTTAGAGGTGGAACCCTCTGCCACCTTTTCACTTTCTCTCTCTCTTTTTTTTTTTTTTGAGACAGGCTCTCGCTTTGTCACCCAGGCTGTAGTGCAGTGGTGTGATCTCAGCTCACTGCAGTCTCTACCTCCTGGGCTCAAGCGATTCTCCTGCCTCAGCCTCCTGAGTAGCTGGGACTACAGCCATGCACCACCACATCCAGCTAATTTTTTGTATTTTTGGTAGAGATGGGGTTTCACCACATTACCCAGGCTGGTCTTGAACTCTGGGACTCAAGCAATCTGCCCACCTCAGCCTCCCAAAGTGCTGAGATTACAGGTATGAGCTACCATGCCTGGCGTTGGTTATAAGTGGTGTGACTATGGAGGCCATCTGTGTGTTACAATAAGTGCTATGGCCTGAAGATTTGTGCCCCCAGTCCTGAATTCATACATTAAATTCTAACCCCCACTGTGAGGATGTCTGGAGGGGGGGTCTTTGGGAGGTGATTAAGTCATGAGAGTGGAGTCCTCATGAATGGGATTAGTGCCCTTCTAGAAGGCACAGGAGAGCTTCCTAGTCCCTTCTACCCTTCCAGGACACAGTGAGAAGATGGCCCTCTATGAACCAGGAAGGGGGCCCTCACAGACACCAGATCTGCCAGTGCTTTGATCTTGGACTTCTCAGCCTTCGAAACTATGAGAAATAAATTTCTGTTGTTTATAAGGCACCCAGTTTACAGTATTTTGTTGCAGCAGCCAGAACGGACTAAGACAACAAGGATGAAGTGAAGCATCCTGGATATCCTCTGCCTGTAATCCGGTCTGATGTGCGGCACTTCATGTCCGAGCTTATCCATTTGGTTTTGGTCTTTGGAAAAGACAACGTTAGTCACTTACTAGTGGCAGTTGCATGGAGAAGAGGGCTCACTAATGGGGGACAGGGTGATCATTTGGAGTTTGCAAGCTGTGAAGACAGATGTTGGCTCTTCACAATTTTGGAAGGGTTCACTAGTTAAGTGTAGGACCTTATGGGGGATGGAAATAAGGCAGAGGCATAGTTCTGGCCACTGAGTTCCTTAAGGTCTGCTGAAGGCTGCCGATGCGTCTCTCACTCCCTCGTTATGCTCTGGAGCAGAGCCAGGGGCTGGAGGAATGAGGGAAGATCCTTTCATTAACCACCATCTGTTGACATTTTTCTTTGTGAAAACATTTCTATTATATTTATGTCTTTATATTTAACATGTTTATTTCTATATAAATTTTTTTGTTTATTATGTACTTATCAAATTATATACAAATTTATATATTTATTTATGTATTTAGATATTATTTATTTATTTGAGACAAGGTCTTGCTCTGTTGCCCAGAGCTGGAGTGCAGTGATGCGATCTCAGCTCACTGCAGCTTAGACCTTCTGGGCTCAAGTGATCCTCCCATCTCAGCCTCCCAAGTAGCTGGGACTGACTACAGGCATGTGCCATCACACCCGACTATTTAAGAAATTGTTTGTAAAGACACGGTCTTGCTATGTTACCCAGGCTAGTTTCCAACTCTTGGCCTCAAGTGATCCTCCTTCCTTGGCTTCTCAAAGTGCTAGGATTACAGGTGTGAGCCACTGCATCTGGCCCAGATATTACTTATATTACATAAATCTAATATAAGTAAAAGTAAAAGAACAGTATATTGAAGCCCCATCATTATGAATTAGGACAGAGTGAGACTCCATCTCAAAAAAAAAGATTTTAATATTTTATCATACCTATTTTGTCATTTTTTGCTGAAGTAAATCACAGATACCATGACATTTTACCCTCCATTATGGATGTCTAGGAAAGGACATTTTATGACACAACCACAGCACCATTCTCCAACCAAACAGAATTCACAAGAATTCTTTAATCATATCTAATAACCAATCTATATTCAAATTTCCTTGATTGGCTTCAAAATATACTCTTACAGTTGGTTTATTTGGATGAGGACTCAAAGAAGACCCCTAGCTTGCACCTTTTAATCTAGAGCAGTCTTCCACTTTCTCCATGCCATTGAGTGATTAACAAATAATTGTACTTTTAAAAAAGGGCTCTGGCAATATGAAATGTGCTTTACTTGTTTCTCAGTCTAATTAAATCTCACACGGAATTCCCATTCTACCCAGCTTCCTCCCTCTCCCCAGGGCTACACAGAATGATTTACAGGGACAGCAAAATGGGAAAAGGATGTCTAATTTTCACTCCACCCTGGTTGCTGTCGAAGCCTGCCTGTCCTTGGAGGTGACATCTCCTGCTCCAGCCCCGTGGACTCCAACACTAACTGGGCTGGGAGCCGCTGCCTGGGTGTGGGAACGAGTCTCTGCTGTGGGCCTCTTTTTCCTGGCCTTTAGGAATCCCCCCTTCCTCTGAATCTTTCCTCCCCGATCACTCTTGACTCCCTCCCAGAGCTTCAGCTTTGAGAGAAGAAAAATCCCAAAGGCATTCTCCTCAGGCTGCCTCTCTTGGTCACAGTTGTCCCCTGAGGCCAGAGAGCACACAGCTTGACCACCCGCTCACCTGACCGCAGAGGGAAGGAAGCTGGAGTCCTTAGTGAATTATCCTGCCCATTAAAGAAGCAGCTCACTGGTGGAGAGAAGAGAAGAAAAGAGAAAGTTTACACTCCCTGAAAGGGCTCCCCTGGGCTGAAATTTCATTTCATTCATTCATTCACTATTAAAACATTTGATTGCTGCTTCCGCCCCCCTTCAAAAAGATGTCTACGGATTTCCTCAACTGTCATCTTACTTTCCCTGTGTCTCAGTTTCCTTATTGGTAAAATGAGATAGTAATAGATATATACCTTATAGGATTGTTGTCAGAATCAGTGAGACACTGTACAAAGGCATGCAGAAAGTGCCCATTCCCCAGGAGACTCGCCATAAATATCGGTGATTATTATTGCTTTTCTAGTTATTGTTAGAAGCAGAGTTCAGGTCTTGTTAGCATCTATTGAGCCTTGTCTGCTGGGCTTCCCTTTGGTCCTGATCAATTTTCAATATAAGATAGAGGATCCTGAGGTTCAGAGATATTCTCAGAGTTGTATTATCAAGTGTTCCTGTTGGCCAGTGGGGGCAGGGCTGTGCTAATCCTGGCCTATCTGAGCCTCTGAGGATGCCAGGCTCAGGGGAAGGGCATTGCCAAAGAGAATCAGCTTCTCAGTTTCCATGGAAGGGAATAGCTCTGTTAGTAAAAACAGAGGAAAGCAGATGGAAACTCGCCGGGATTTTAGAAGGTTCTGCGGTTCTGTGTGTATTATAAGCCTTCAATTTAGGCGTGTTGAATTGAATTCAGTTCAACAAGGAAGAGAGGATTAGGAGATGAGAGGCATGATCTGGTGATGAAATTCAAGCCAAAAATCATCCCGCAGTCAAAATTATCCTGTGTATGCTCTGGAAGGGATTGCCGGGGAGTCTGTTCCAGAACTTCATGGATACTAATGAGTGGATTTGCACAGTGGATTTACCCAGCAGGCATGGACTGCTCCTGTTTGGCCCTTCAGCTTCTCCTGGCTACCTGAAATGGGAACCCCCACCATCCCAAGGGGAGCGGGCAGTCTTTCAGGGGATGGAGTCACTGTCTTTAATTCTACTCAGTAATTCAGTCAATAAACATTTCTTAAGCACCAACTACATGTCAGGCTCAGTGTTTGCACGGGGAGTTGCTGAGAAGAGATGCAAAGATGAACAAGTCCTTGCCACCAGTAAGCTTGCCATTGAATGGAGGAGACAGGCCCATATACAGGTAGTAGTAATTTGAAACAGCATAACGTAAGTGCTGTAGGAGATGTACAGAAAAATCAAGCCAGCCAAGAGGAGAGAGAGGTTAATGCTGACTCAGGAAACAAGGCAGGCTTCATGCAAGATGAGTAGAAATTTGACAGGTAGAATTTCACTCATTCATCCAGTAAATATTTATTAAGCATCAGCTATAGTCTAGGTACTGTGCGAGGCCCTGGTAAAGGAGAGGGAAAGGTATTCCAGACAGAGGGAACAGCATGAGAGAAGGCAAGAGGATAGGATAAACTGGAGCCTGCATGGGGAAGCCCACAATCTTCTGGAGGAGGTTGAGCTTCACCTTGTCTTTGAGGCCATCACTGCAGCCCCAAAAGGATAGCCTGGGCCAGGAAGCAGTCGTCTTCCTTGCTTAGTCCTGTCTTCTGTTCCATGATCCTGTCTATGTTACCAATGTGTAATTTTCCTTTCTATATCAGAGAGAAATAATTTCAGGCTACTCCCCAGATAGAGAAAAATCTCTGGACTCCCCAAGATTCAGGTTGCATGGTAACATCTACCCCATCCATTCCCTGGGCTGGAAAGGCCCTGAGAGCTCTTTGGGCAGCAAGAGACACCTTCTATGGCTGCTGCCTAGCAGTGGGTCAGAGCACCTTGATATGCAGCCGGCTTGTGGCCTTTGTAGCTATATCCTCACCGCTGAGGGTGAAGAAGGGAGTGCCAACCCTCAGAACCACAAAGGCCAGGTGGTGTCCTCTATGGTGGATGTCCCTGGGTGAGCCCGGAGATGTTTCCCTGGAGTTGGAAAGCAATCCAGATGCACGGCTGATGGAGCACAGTCGGCTCCCACTTCCACCTGCATTCTTGAAACATTTACTACTAATTAATTTCTGAATTACACAACAATGCACTTCCTAATTACACAGGGGAAGCACCAGCAGCTATAACAGGATTGTTATCTATTGCACAAATGATTCTATTAGATGCTCTACCAGAAAGGAGAGGAGGGAGGAAGAGAGGGGAAAGGAAGAGAGGGAAGAAGAGAGACAGAAAGAGAGAGAAAGAGAGAGAGAGAGAGAGAGAGGTGAACAGATTGAGATTGTGAAGAAAAGCCTGGCTGATAATGCTTTCTAGTCTCAGGAGGGAGGTTGGCTGTCTTGGGACCTCAGCATCCCTTCCAAGAGATGTGCAGCCATCTCTGGGCTCAGAGAGAAAAGGCTTCCTCAAAAACTCCGACAACTGTGCAAATATCGACATAGAAATATAAATAATAACATGCAGACTTCATGAAAATATAATTAAAGCCCAACATTATGAGGAAAGAGACTCACTGGAGACTGGCCATATTTCTTTTTATCTGAAGGTTTGGTTTTACATGGGAGTGATTAAAGCAAAGACTCTAGTTTCTTTCTGTCTCTCTCTTTTTCTTTTTTTCTTTCTTTCTTTTTTTTTTTACTGACACATGGATTTTTTTTTGTATTTATATCAGGTTGGACTGTTCATTAAAATGAGTGGCTTTCACATCCTGTTGAAATATGTGGGTTGTCCCAAATCTCCAACAATGATAGACTGGATTAAGAAAATGTGGCACATATACACCACAGAATACTATGCAGCCATAAAAAATGATGAGTTCATGTCCTTTGTAGGGACATGGATGAAATTGGAAATCATCATTCTCAGTAAACTATCGCAAGGACAAAAAACCAAACACCGCATGTTCTCACTCATAGGTGGGAATTGAACAATGAGAACACATGGACACAGGAATGGGAACATCACACTCTGGGGACTGTTGTGGGTTGGGGGGAGGGGGGAGGGATAGCATTAGATATACCTAATGCTAAATGATGAGTTAATGGGTGCAGCACACCAGCATGGTACATGTATACATATGTAACTAACCTGCACATTGTGCACATGTACCCTAAAACTTAAAGTATAATAATAATAAAATAAAAAAAAGAAATATCTGGGTTGTCAAATGTTTATTAGGCTCATTAAATATTACTGAGCAGCTACTATGAGTGGGGCAAGGGTGAAGTATGCAAGGCAGTAGGGTTACAGATATGAATAATATATGGCCGTGCCTTTGGGTGTGTCACCAGTCTGTAGAGGGGGACAAGTGTAAAAACAAGCAGCTTCAAAATGAGATGATAGGAGCAATGGTGGGGACAGTTGTAGGGAGTGGTGAGGGTACAGAGAAGCACGAGCTTCATGTCAGGGTTCAGAAGAGGGTCTGTGGAACAGAGGAGAGTGTGAAACAGGAGTTGCCTTCAATGGAAGCTGGATTGGGAGGGCCAGGGAGCCCTTGCCCACCCTCTGCACCTGGGTTACAGGTATGAGGCCAGGCGGGAAGGCTGTAGGCACAGGTGGTTATCCTGAGTGGTGTCTTGTATCTGCCGTGTCCATACATTGGGAGACTAAAACTGCACCAGTTATTTGGACAGAAAGAATTTAATGCAACAAATTGTCAAGAAAGTATAACATTATAACTAGTAACTGAATGGATAAAAAGAGTACCGCAGGCTGGGTGCAATGGCACATGCTTGTAATCCCAGCACTTTGGAAAGCCAAGGCAAGCAGATCACTTGAGGCCAGGAGCTCGAGACCAGCCTGGCCAACATGGTGAACCCCATCTCTACTAAAAATACAAAAATTAGTCAGATGTGGTGGCATGCGCCTGTCTCAGGAGGCTGAGGCAGGAGGATCACTTAAACCCGGGAGGTAGAGGTTGTAGTGAGCCAAGGTCGCACCACTACACTCCAGCCTGGGTGACAGAACAAAACTCTGTCTCAAAAAAAAAAAGCACTTCACGGTGTCATGGCGTTAGCAACTGCAGGAGGAAGCCACTGTCTGTGGGGCTGAGTGAACAAAGGGATGAGGTTGGAATTATTAAGACTTTAAAAAGAGACCCTGTCGAGCTGAAACTCAGACCTCTGATGAGTTGGTGTCTTGGGGAGGACGAAGCTATGCCATGAGGAGAAGGCTGATTCTACAAACACAGGAGAAACTGCAAAGTGGATTCAACTGCTGCTCGCGCCATCTACTGGCAGACCCTGGCATGGAATGAGGGGCAACTCATCACAGCCCACATAGAAGGTGGCATCATCCCGTAGGCTGCAGTCAGTCATTCCACATAGATGTTTGAGCACCCACAAGGTGTCAGGCACTTTTCTAGTCCTTGGAACACACCGGTGAACAAAACACAACTATCCTTGTCTTTAGGTAACATCCTAGTTTAGGGAAACAGAAAATAATCAAATAAATGGGTAAATTATGTAGTATCGACAGCATCTTATTAGAAGAGAAATAAAGCAGAGGGTGGGGAGAGGATAAGGAAAGGAGGTGTGTGTGTATAGAAGGGGTAAGCATTCAATTGTAAATTGAAAGGTCTGAAAAGACCTCTCTGAGGATATGGCCTTTGAGTAAAGACCTGAAAAACGTGGAGGAATGGGCTGGGTGGATATTCAGGAGGAGAGCAGGTAGGGAAAGGAAGCACAGGAACACAGACATGAAAAGTTTAGAAATAGCTGGGAGAGAGATGGAGGGAGAGAGCAGAAGCTGGGTTATGTCCGGCCTTTAGGCCATTGGAACAACTTTGGATTTTACTTTAGTGAGATGGGAAGTTGCTGTGGTTTGAATGATGGTGTCCCCTCTAAAATTCATGTTGAAACTTACTCCCCATTGTGATAGTATTAAGAGATAGGGCCTTTTTGGAAAGTAATTAAGTGATGAGGGCTCTGCCTTCACGAATGGATTAGTGCCTATAAGATGACTGGAAGGAACTAGCTTAGGTGTCCTTTCTGCCCTTCTATGTGAGGACACAGCAAGAGGGCCCTGACAAGACAACAAACCTGTCCAGGGCCTTAATCTTGGATTTCCCAGCCTCCAGAACTGTGAGAAGTAAATTTCCATTATTTATAAAATAGCATCTCAGGTATTTTGTTATAGCAGAACAAACAGACTAAGACAAAAGTCACTGACAGTTTGAACTAAAGAGTGACAGGGCCCTGCCTGCATTTTATCAGGACCTTTCTGGCTGTTGAGTGGAGAGGTGATTTTAGGAGCAGCAGTGAAACTGCCAGGAGGCTGTGGCCACACACAGGTAAGAGGGGACAGAGGCATGGGCCAGTCTGGCTGCAGCAGAGGTCATGAGGAAGAATCGGATTCTGGACACATTTTGCAAAGAGAGTTTATAAGCTCTGTGCTTCTGTTAAATATGCAGTAGAAACAGAGGGAGGAGTTGACAATGATGACAATGTTTTTGGCTGGAGCCAATGAAGGATGGAAGTGACATTAATGGAAGTTTTTATTTCTTTATAATATTTCAACCATCTGTGAACCCCAAATATGTGATACAGGTCTAAGTCAATTTAGAAAGTTTATTTTGCCAAAGTTAAGGATGGATGCCCATGGTACAGCCTCAGGAGATCCTGATGACATGTGCCCAAGGTGGTCGGGGCACAGCTTGGTTTCATACATTTTAGGGAGACATGAGGCATCAATCAATATATGTAAGATGAACATTGGTTTGGTCCAGAAAGGCAGAACAACTTGAAGTGAGTAGAGGAGCTTCCAGGTCATATAGGTAGATAAAAGATGAACAGTTGCATTCTTTTGAGTTTCTGATTAGCTTTTCAAAAGGAGGCAATCAGATATGCACTTACCTCAGTGAGCAGAGGGATGATTTTGAGTTCCGTCTTTCCTTTGTCCACAAGGAAATTCCTTGTGAGGTAGGTATATAGCTTTTTTATCTTAGTAGCTATCTTTTTAAAGAAGAGAATGAGAGGCAGGTTTGCCCTTCCCAGCTTGACTTTTCCCTTTGGCTTAGTGATTTTGGGGTCCCAAGATTTATTTTCCTTTCACATATCTATGATTATAAAGTGATGAAAAAAGATTTTGTTTTATTTCATTAAGAGAGGATTAATCTGAAGAGAGCAAAGTCATAATAATCTGAGATATATAAATCTTTCTGAATAACTCAGAAGAGTCTATAGTCATATCACATTGAATGCATCTTTTTTTTTTTTTTTTTGAGACAGGGTTTCACTCTGTCACCCAGGCTGGAGTGCAGAGGAGCAATCTCTCTCTGCACTGGAAACTCTGTCTCCCAGTTTCAAGAAATTCTTGTGCCTCAGCCTCCCGAGTAGCTGGGATTACAGGTGCGTGACACCTCACCCGGCTAATTTTTTGCATTTTTTTAAAAGTAGCGATGGGCTTTCACCATGTTGGCCAAGCTGGTCTCGAACTCCTGACCTCAAGTGATCCACCTGCCTTGGCCTCCCAAAGTGCTGGGATTACAGGCATGAGCATCTGATCTTTCCTGAATAACTCAGAATATTCACATGTTGTTTTTCTCAACACTCCTATGGCTCTCACAAAAATAGAAATTCTTATTTCCCACAAGGCCCTGGGAGTTGAAGCAACTTTGTATACTCTGGGGCTCCACTTTCTCATTGTCCCATCCCTCCTAGATTTCTTCTTTTTGACTCTGATTACCTATGGGTGGCTTCATCATCTTTAGCTATCAAGGACTTGTCTGTGCTCTCTGTCATCAGCTCTGCATTCCCTTGGGTTTCCGTCTCAGTCTCCTTCTCAGGCTCCCTGATACTGTTAACTCGCAAATCCCCACCTCTTCTTGAGCCCAAATATCTCTGACTTGGTCTTGAGTTTCCATCTGTCTTCTGGGGATTTCCACGAGGTTGTCTTCAGGATATCTGAGTTCTCCATGTTCCCAACTGAACTCACTCTTCTTCCTTTATACCTCTTTTTTCTCTCCAGGTCCTTGATGCCACTTAATGTTATCACACAGCTATCTGGGCTACAAAACTCATTCTTTTTTTAATTCTTCCTCTTCCTCATCTTCATGGCTAATCCGTCGCTGATTCTTGTCAGTTCTCTTTTTATTTTGTTCTGGTTTCCTCTATCCTCCCCACGACTGGAATTCAGGCTGTTGCTCTGTCTCTCCTGACCTGCTCATGTGCAGAGGCCTCCTAACAAATCCTTCTCTTTTCAAACTCTTGCTTCTCTGTCTCCCATGTTAGAAGTTACTGCCTACAGCTTCATTTCAAGGTGCATCATTTCTTCTCTTCTCAAAACCTTCAGTGGTGTCCTGTTGCCAACAGAATGAACATCAGACTCCTTAGGAGAGTGCTCAAGACCCCTCTTGAATGGGTCCCAAGCCATTTTTCCAGACTGTTCTTCAGCTTCATTGCTATGTTTTAATCTCCCAGCATTAAAACTTGGTATTAACAAAAGTCACCAATGTGCTGCTATGGTTTGAATGTGTCCCCCCAAATTCATGTGTTGGAAACTTAATCCCCAATGCAACAGTGTTGGGAGGTGGATCCTAATGGGAGGTGTTAATGGCAGAGCCCTCATGAATGGATTTGTTACTCAAAAAACTGGGGTCCATTTGCCTGGCAAGTACCAAATGACTCTCCACGAGAATGCAGGTTTTGATCAATAGGAATTTAATTGTTTGTCACAGGTAGGAAGAGGATTCTCCAAAGCAGTGCTCCCAAGGGAAAGTGACAGGAGGGTTTAATGGGGCAATGGACAGGGGAGAAGATGCATCATCGTATGTAGAGGAGGGTCTCACTGGCGTAGGTGCAGTGAGTCATCACGCTGGCACTAGGCCATATGTTATGATAATGAAGCTATACATCCTCCTGAGGTGTAGAATTTAGTATGGCAATGAAGAAAGTTTACTCTGATCCATCTGGAAGTTGCTGGTCTCTGTCAGGAGCTGGTTTCAGCTGACTAGGAGACCACATTCCACACAGGGCTTGAAAACATCAGACTATAAGATAGGAAGCTGTAAAGCAGGTGGATTGCTCAAACTAGATGGATTTCTATGGTCCCTGAAGACCCTCCCTATCTGCTTACAGATTGTCATTATCTTGGGAGTGAGTTTGTTACAAAAATGAGGTAAGTCTCCTCTTGCCCTTTCTGGCACACTCTCTCACCATGTGATGTCTTCTGCCATGTTATGACACAACATGGCAAGAAGGTTCTAACCAGATGCAGATGCTTGATCTTGGACTTCTCAGCCTCCAGAACCATAAGAAATACATCTCTCTTCTTCACAAATTACCCAGTATTTTGTTATAGCAGCACAAAATGGACTAAGACATGTGCCCACACCTTTGCTGGGGCTACTTCTTCAACCTGTGCCCTCCTTTCCTCCTTCTTCATCCTCTAAAAATTATCTACCCACACTGCCAACATCCCCTTTGTAGCAGAGCAGAATATGCCATCCCAAAATATGCCTCTGGCACGAGGATTATTTTAAGATTCAGCAGCCACAGGAAAAGCCCTGAAAACAGAGTAAAAGTTATTCTTTTGTAAGAAAAATTTATATCTATAAAGAAAATCTCCATTTGTAAGGGTGTCTCCCTCTCTGTTGCAGAAAGAAAAACATTCTATTAAATCACTAGAGACTCTTATCAATGGAGAAGGTACCACATTAAATCTGCATAACATACTTCAGCCTTGTTTACCCTGATTTCCTGGTTACCTCCCCCCCATCACTGCCCCCTCCATATCCTTCTTTCTTTGTGTCAGCTGAAGATGATATTTAAATCTGAATTCAAAGCCACCTCTTGGAGATTTCCTGTTTTCCCTGGTTATCTACCAGGTACACATGTTAATAAACTTGTGTTTGTTTTTTTCCTGTTAATCTGTCTTTTGTTACAGAGTTTTAAGGGTAGAGAAAAAATTATTTCCTCCTTATACCTCCCACACCCACTACAGAAGGGAAAAGGAAGAGTTTCTTTACTTCTTTCCAACATGCTAAAACCCCAATTATGTCCTGTGCAGTCTGAGCCTCCCAGTCTGGAAGAGAGAGAAGACCAGGGCCCTGGACCAGAGAGGAAGGGCCTGCAGGGCCCTGGACTTGAGCCAGTGAAGTCCCATCTGCCCACCCCAGGCACAACTTCAGTCCCTTCTGGAAAGATGGTTTTTCTATCCTGTCTCTTACCCTCTCTGGAGAAGGAACCATTTCCCTGAAGTCTGCAACGGGCAAGGCTTTGCATGGAATTAATCAGTAAGTTCCTTGTATTCAGCCAAGTATCTGCAAAGCCAAGCCACTGCAGACTGAAGGGTGCATCTTCCAGGCTGACTGTGACCTCAGTTTTTGTTTTCAAGAAGGAGAAGAGCCTCTACTGAGTTCTTGGTGTCCCCACGTCCCCAGTCCAGCCTCTCTTTAGCACATCTCTGAGGTCAGCTTCCCTGGATCTCTTTTGCCAGCTGGGGAAGGGCACAGCCCAGCCTTGTGTTCCTCTGTCATCTCTGCTCCTACTGGGGCCCCAGAGGAGAGAGCTGCCTACTCCCAGAGCCCCAGTCCTGGCTGTTCTTCCCCCAGCCAGGGCTGTGGCTGCTTCATTGGCTTTTTTCCCCATTTGTGCTTCAGTGGGTATTTTTACTTCTCTCCCTCCCCCTGCCTCACTTCCTATCACGCCAGACCAAGCAGACCAGGATTAGGGCCTATGTGCCCCAGCGACATGCTCCCGGGGACCACCCAGGATGTGTCCTTACAGCCCCAGCACCTACTGTCCTTGAGATTGTCTGCTCCTGGCCTCTGGGTTTTCCAAGGAGAAACAGATTTGAGCCAATACGGGAGGCTTAGTGGCTATCCTGAGGCTCCTCCTGTCCAGCTAGGGAGGAGAGTGTGCTTCAGTAGAGCCTTGAGGTAGCTTCAACCTGAAGATGGCAACAATTTGTAGAGCTGGGAGTTAGGAGGTGTGGATCGTGGTCCAGGCTCTGTTGTTGACTGTTCAACTTAGGGAAGTCCCTTCACCTCTAAGTTCCCTAAGTTGACTGTTCAACTTAGGGAAGTCCCTTCACCTCTCTGGGCCTCAGTGCCCATGAAGGCTGCTCTCAGAGAACTTGTGTCATGGACCTGTGTTCTAGTTCTGGGTGGGCTTTGTGGAGGGCTTCCTCTGGTGGCTCCTGTAGCAGCTCCTGGGTCATGCTGGCCACCGAGGTGATTGGCTCCCTCCATCATAAAGACCTGCCTACCTGTGCACCGAGAGAGGCTGCATCCCAACTCCTGTCTTCCCTTCCTTGAAGCCCGGGGCTCTGTTCTGCATTTCAAGAGTGTTGATTATTAAGTTTAAATTCAGTGCCCACATTCTTTTATTTTGTTTCACATACTGAGTCTTTGGAGACCAACATGCAAATTTATGGAAAGCAACATGCAAATAAGAGTGTAGGATTTCTAGCATGCTGTGGAGAAAAAACTCTGAACTGTCAGGGAACTCAGGCTCCCTGCCGGGCTCTCTTCTCACTTGCTCAGTGACTTTTCCAGGCCTCAGTTTCCTCATCTGTAATGTGAGGGGAGTTGGGTTAGATGGTCATTCAGCATCCTTTCTAGCTCTCCAAAACTAATAATCTGTGTTTGGGAAAATTACTAGTGTCTATGAAGGGAGCACCTTCTGAAATGGGATTCAAGACTATGACCTCTTTCAACAGGGATGTCTTGGGCAAAAGTGGGAAGCCCGTAAAGCTAGGAGCCTAGGGTGTAATGAGATAGGGATTTGGCAGAACTTGTTTCTCAAGGCTCAGGTCACAAAGACCCCTGCTGATAAAACAGAATGCAGTGAAGAAGGCAGCTGAGACTATCCAGAATCAAGACGGTGATGAAAGCGACCTCTGGTTCTCCTCACTGCTCATTATATGCTAATTATAATGCATTAGCATGCTGGAGGAAACTCCCACCAGCACTAGGACCGTTTACAAATGCCATGGCAACTTCTGGAAGTTATTGCACATGGTCTAAAAGGGGGAGGACTCTGGAAAACTTTCCACCCCTTTCCTGGAAAACTCATGAATAGTTCACCACATATTTAGCATGTAATCAAGAAGTAACTTTAAACATTGCCAGCCAACAGTCCATGTGCTGCTACTCTAAGTGCACTCCCTATGGGTTAACCCCACTCCACAGGGAGCAGCCACTATACACTGCTGCTTCTCCAGTCAACCTGCTGTCTTCTACTGCCGGCTTGCTCTTGAATGCTTTCCTGAGAGAAGCCAAGAGCCCTCCTGGGCTAAGCCCAAAAATGAGGCTCACCTGCCCTGCATCATCAAGGTCTCTTCCAATCAAAAACTTTTGTGTTTTTACCCCTGTTTGGCCTTTGTCTCCATCCTACTATTTTTATTATGCATAATTAACCACAATAATAGCTAACGATTATTGAGTTTTCCTAAGTGCCAGAATGTCTACTAAATGTTTTATGCATTATCTCATTTAATCCACAAAGCTTAACTGCTAGGAGCAGGGTTGTAAAGGTGACCTTCTAGCTTCAGAGTCTATCTCTGCCACTCACTGGCTGTGTGGCCATGGGCCAACTGGCTATTTTTGACCTTCCTGTCCCTAAGTTTTCTCATATGAAGATGGGAATAATTATTGTACCTACCTCACAGAGTTATAGTCAAGATTAAGTAAATTGGTCTATGTGTTCAGAACAGTGTCCAGAATATGGTAAATATGCCATTAAAATGTAGCTACTGGTCAGGCATGGTGGATCATGCCTGTAATCCCAGCACTTTGGGAGGCTAAAATGAGCAGGTCGCTGGGCTCAACTCAAGTGTGAGCCCAGGAGTTAAGACAAGTCTGGGCAACATAGTGAGACCCTATCTCTGTTTTTTTTTTTTTTTCTTTTAATTAGCTATCAACACTGCAAATGGTAGTCCTCACAATAATCCTATGAGGTAGATACCATCATTCCCACTGACCGCTGAGGAAGTTGAGGCTTAGAGAGGTTAAAGTGAGGTGCTCAAGATGCGTGCCTCCCCTTATCCCCTTCCCTCAGATCTCCGGCTCTTCTTTGAGACCCTCAAATAGAGAAGAAAGCAATTGATATGTTCATTCACATGATTTTCTCATGGAACCCAAGAGGGAGGCAAAGGACAAAGCCAACTAGTGACAAGGCTGTTCATAGGATGCTGCAACCTTCGAGGGTAATGACTAGAGTTGACGGGTCCCAGACTTGGGAGATGTCACCAATGGGCCCACGGCCATGCTGCCCAACTGCAGACTGGAGCCTCCTGGATGCACTTGGGCTCCCTGGCACATGTGTCAGGGAGGAAGAGCTCATCTATATACCCAGTGCACACACAACCACTTCAGTTTATCTACAGGACTAATGAATTCTGCCAATGTGATAATCAGTAGGAATGGAGGAGTCAACCAGAGCTAATTTGAAAGAGTGCAAGGTAATTAATTTGAAATGACTTATTTAGTAAAATGGTAATGATGAGGCTAATGTTATCGCCCGAGATGACAAGTCTATTAGTTGTATGCTGCCTTTGGATGGAGCAGGGAGCAGGGCCGTTACACAGAAGTGTGGATGTCTTGAAGGACCTCCCCTTTATCTCTCCCTCCCTTGGCCCTGCCTTAACCAAAGGTTGATTGGTTTCTGCTCTGACTAGGACAGAGCCGCCATAACAGCCCACTTCCCTCACAGCCACTGCCACTGTCCACAATCCCAGGAGAGACAAGCCCATTGCATTGTCCAGGTGATGCCACAGTGGCTGGAGAAGAGCCATGGCAGCTGATGGATACCTCTCATTCAGGAGAAAGTTCTGGTCCTAGAAGAACACTGGAGATGCGCCCCTGGGACAGATCTCAGGAGAGCCTAAATATGAATACAAGACTTAGAAGGTGCCTTTGGAGACTGGGTGCAGTGGTGCATGCCTGGAATCCTAGCACTTTAGGAGGCTGAGGAGGGAGGATTGCTTGAAGCCAGGAGCTCGAGACCAGCCTGGACAACATAGCAAGATCTGCCTCTACCAAAACAAACAAACAAAACCCAAAAAACAGTGCCTTCTGTCTGGGTAGGCCTAGATTTAAGTCTCATCTGCCACCTCTCAGCTGTGCGACCCTGGGCAAACCCCTCAACCTCTGGCCTACTTCTTCACCTGTAAAGCAGAAATGGTAATACCTGCCTTCCGGCACCGCTCAGGCTCCCCTTCCCTTCTTGGCTGCAAGGGGATATCAGAGACAAAGTTACAGCCACACACAGCGAAGAATTTATGTAGCACATTTTGCTCTTTAATTTTGGTTTATGTGCCCTGTTATTTCTCTTTCTTCTTTTGCTTCTGCTTTTAATTCATGCTAAGTTGGTCTTTTATGTAGTCTCATAAGGCTTCTTAACCCATTTCTGGAATAAAGTGGAGGATAAATAAATTACAAGTTGTTGTGAGGATTAAGTGACAATTGCCAAGTGTCTAGCACTTTATGGATGCTCCTTCTGGCTCTCCCCAATGGGATTCCATTGTCGGCTTCCCTCTCTAGATGGGAAGGGCCTGTGGATGGCTGCACAGCTGTGGGGGTACCCTGTGAGGCCGGGGTGCAGGGGAGACAATGAGCAAACAGTGGAAACGGAGTCTGAGGGGGCCAGGGCCTGAGCTGAATAGATGGTCACCACGTAGTCAGATGGAAAAGGCAGAACCCAGGAGTGATGTGAAGAGCCCAGTTTAACGGGAGCTGGCGACATGGAGAGTCAAAGTGGGATGTGTGGGGAAGGGGGACAGACTGCGGCGGTTCCTGTGCTGACGTGCTGGCAACTGTGGCAGCTTCATCTGCGGTACGTGGAGTACTTAAAAGGGTGGGGGGCTCAAAGTAGGGGGGTCCGCTAGGGCCCCATTTGGTAACTACTGGGCATGGATGATCTGGGAGGTTTCTGTGTGCCCAGAAAGGATGAGAAAAGGGTGTTCTGGGGGACCCAGGGCACCAACTAAGCCCAGAGGGGCAGCCTGTCTGCTGTAGGCCAGGGAAGGACTCTCTGAGCACAGAATCCCAGGAGAGCAGCCTAATTAAAGTTTAGAAAGTGCTTCTCAGTCTCACTGTTGGACAAACAAAAAGGTGTTAGAATAGGCCTCTCGAGAAAGCACAACAAGGATAGTTAGACTGTCACAGGCCTTTGATCCTGATGCCATTCAGCAACAAGGCTCGGGTGCTTAGGACTCTGACATACCTTGGCAGAGAAACCGATTTCTGGAAGTTTGCACTTTGACTCAAGAAATAAAGGAGTATCTGAAAGGACAGAAAAGTCTTTCTTTGTCTGGGCGGAAGTTCAGTTTCCTTAAGCCTGGAAAAAATGAAGTATTAGAGGCAGCATAAATAGAGAAATTGTAGACAAAATTCCAGAAAAGTCAGGATACGACTGAGCATGGTGGCTCATGCCTGTAATCCAGGAACTTTGGGAGGCCAAGGTGGGTGGATCTCTTGAGCACAGGAGTTCGAGACTATCCTGGGCAACATGGTGAAACCCCGTCTCTACAAAAAAACAAAACAAAACAAAACAACAACAACCAAAAAACCCCACAAAAATGAACTGGATGTGGTGGTATGTGCATGTAGTCCCAGCTACTCGGGAGGCTGAAATGGGAGGATTACTTGAGCCCAGGAGGCAGAGCTTGCAGTGAGCTGAGATAGCGCCACTGCACTCCAGCCTGAGCAACAGAGCCAGACCTTGTCTCGAACAAAAATGAAAAAGAAAGAGGTCAGGATGTGTAGTGGCTAAAACTCAGGCTATGAGTCAGACAAATTTTGGATACCCATTTACTAGCCATGGGACCTTGGATGAGTTACTTAATCTCATCAACCCTCAGTTTCTTCATCTGTAAAATGGGGTAGTTAGTAGTGGCTCCTGCTGGCCTAAGTTACTGTGAGATTTGAATGAATTAATGCACATCCAGCACTGAGTTCAGGGACAAGCACTGGGCACACACTCCATAAGCATCAGTTCTTCTTGGTTTTAGTATTAAAAGCAAACATCACATACAAAAAATTTAGATTTCTTTTTCTTTTTTTTTTTTTTTTTTTGAGACGGAGTCTGGCTCTGTCACCAGGCTGGAGTGCAGTGGCACAATCTCAGCTCACTGCAACCTCTGCCTCCCGGGTTCAAGTGATTCTCCTCCCTCAGCCTCCCGAGTAGCTGGGACTACAGGCATGTGCCACCACGCCCAGCTAATTTTTGTATTTTTAGTAGAGATGGGGTTTCACCATTTTGGCCAGGAAGGTCTCAGTCTCTTGACCTCGTGATCCGCCCCCCTCAGCCTCCCAAAGTGTTGGGATTACAGGCATGAGCCACTGCGCTCAGCCTAGAAATGTTTTTGTTCTTTAAAAATAACATTTTCTTTCTCTTTTTGACATTAGAAGGCACTTAGTCCAGAAAAATAAAACTTTCTTTGTCATGGTAATGTTGATGACATCTTCTACTCTGATTTTTTTTTTCATTTTTCTCAGAACCTGATAAAAACTAAGAGATGGTAGACTGCTGAAGAATTCAATTGCCTAGAGCTCCACTAGAAATGAAAATTTAAAACATCTTAAAGTGAATTCTATTACATTTAAAAAATATTGTGTAAGGAGGGGCTCTTTTACATCTAATTCACCAAATATAATCATTGTAAATGCAAACAAGCTAGACACAATCTATTCCTCAATTCCCTAACACCTGTAGAAGATTTTAAAAATATGACTTATGATGGGCATGGTGACTCGTGTCTGTAATCCTAGAGACTCGGGAGGCTGAGGCAGGAAGATCGCTTGAGGCTAGGAATTTGAGACCAGGCTGGGCAACATAGTAAGATCCCATCTCCATAAAAATTTAAAACGTAGCTGGGTGTGGTGGCACATGTCTGTAGTCCCAGCTTCTTGGGAGGCTGGGGTAAGAGAATTGCTTGGTTCCAGGAGGTTGAGGCTACAGTGAGCTATGATAGCACCACTACAGTCAACCTTGTGACAGAGTGAGGCCCTATCTCCAAAAAGAAAAAAAAAATACAGCTTGCATAAGGAGTAGGGGCTCATATTGGGGCCAATAGTGCTCAGTGAAGGGGAGCCTGGGCCTGAGCTCTGGTCTTCTGGGAGGTGGGGGTGCTTCACAGCAGGCTTTTGCACAAGTTCCTTCTTCTAAAGGTACACATGGAGGAAGGGGACTTCAGGGTGTCAGGCTGGATGTTGGTTCTGGGAAAGAAGGTGCTGGCCTCGCACTTGTCCCCTTCCTTGGCCCAGTGGTGGAAACAGAGAGTTGCCCTTAGGAGGGACAGTGTGGCAAAGGCACTGGGAGTGTGATGCCAAGAAGTGGAGGGCCTTCTCTCTCCCAGAGATGGCTCAATGAGGATGGAAAGGAACGGGGTGTCGTCTTGAGTTGTTGACCTCTTGAGTTGTCATGGCTTTGGGAGCACCTGGAAAGAGTAGAGTAAAGGGTCTCCCGGCTTTCTCATGGGAGACACCGGACAGAGTGAGCCACATCCACAGGGAGAAGCTGCCCTCAAGTGACTCTTGGGCAGTGGTCATCCAAAGGGACAGTGTCTAGGGTAGCAGGATGGGAAATAACTGTTTTTGGGTCCCTATGAGATATGGCCTGAGGATGGCCAGATTCGTTTTCCTTACGACTGCTTAGAAGGTAGTTACCACCTGTCCATCTTTTTTCCAGCTTCCTTTTTTTTTTTTTTTTTAATTTGGAAAAAATCCTCTACTGTAGTTTTAGTTGGGTTTAGTGAAGGAAGAATATTAGATCCATGTGTTCAATCCACTACCTTTTTTTTTTTTTGAGACGGTGACTCACTCTGTCACCCAGGTTAGGGTGCAGTGGTGCAATCATGGTTCACTGCAACCTCAACCTCCCTGGGCTCAGTTGGTCCTCCCACCTCAGCCTCCCAAGTAGCTGGAACTACTTGGGCATGCACCACCATGCCCAGCTAATTTTTTTGGTTTGTTTTTTGTAGAGATGGGGTTTCACCATGTTGCCCAGGCAGGACTCGAATTCCATGCCAACATCTACTGTTTTTTGATTTTTTTTTATGGCCATTCTTGCAGGAGTAAGGTGGTATTTCATGGTGGTTTTGATTTGCATTTCCCCGATCATTAGTGATGTTGAGCATTTTTCATATGTTTGTTGGCCATTTGTATATCTTCTTTTGATAATTGTCTATTCATGTCCTTAGCCCACTTTTTGATGGGATTGTTTGTTTTTTTCTTACTGATTTATTTGAGTTCGTTGTAGATTCTGGATATTATTCCTTTGTCAGATGTATAGATTATAAAGATTTTCTCCCACTCTGTGGGTTGTCTATTTACTCTGCTGACTGTTCCTTTTGCCTTGCAAAAGCTCTTTAGTTTAATTAGGTCCCAGCTGTTTATCTTTGTTTTTATTGCATTTGCTTTTGAGTTCTTGGTCATGAAATCCTTGCCTAAGTCAATGTCTGGAAGGGTTTTCCAATGTTATCTTCTAGAATTTTTATAGTTTCAGGTCTTGGGCTTAAGTCCTTAATCCATTTTGAGTTGATTTTTGTGTAAGGTGAGATATGAGGATCCAGTTTCAGTCTCCTACACGTGGCTAGCCAATTATGCCAGCCCCATTTGTTGAAAAGGGTGTCCTTTCCCCACTTTGTGTTTTTGTTTGCTTTGTCAAAGATCAGTTGGCTATAAGTATTTGGGTTTATTTCTGGATTCTCTATTCTGTTCCATTGGTCTACGCACCTATTTTTATACCAGTACCATGCTGTTTTGGTGACTATGGCCTTATAAGATAGTTTGAAAACAGGTAGTGTGATACCTCCAGATTTGTTCTTTTTGCTTAGTCTTGCTTTGGCTAAGCAGGATCTTTTTTGGTTCTATGTGAATTTTAGAATTGTATTTTCTAATTCTGTGAAGAACAATGGTGGTATTTTGATGGGAATTGCATTGAATTTGTAGATTGCTTTTGGCAGTATGGTCATTTTCACAATATTGATTCTACCCATCCATGAGCACGGGATATATTTCCATTTGTTTGTGTCATCTATGATTTCTTTCAGCAGTGTTTTGTAGTTTTTCTTGTAGAGGTCTTTTGACTCCTTGGTTAGGTATATTCCTAAGTATTTTATTTTATTTTATTTTCACAGCTATTGTAAAGGATTGAATTCTTGATTTGATTCTCCGCTTGGTCGCCGTTGGTGTGTAGAAGAGCTACTGATTTGTGTACATTAATCTTGCATCCAGAAACTTTGCTGAATTCTTTTATCAGTTCTAGGAGCTTTCTGGAGGAGTCTTTAGGTCTCAAACTCCTGAGCTCCAGTGATCCACCTGCTTTGGCCTCCCAAAGTGCTGGGATTACAGGTGTGAGCCAAGGTGCTTGGCCTTGTTTGGCCTTTAAAAGCTGCCTTGTGTTAAATAAATTGTCTAATGAATACAAATGCCATGCTATTAGTGGAAGGATTACTCCCCTTTAGAAGCCTCTATAGATGTGGAGTGAGTAAGAAAACTAGCAAACACAGATAAGATTGAAAAATAATAGTTCTGCTTTAGTCTCTCACACTCTTCAAAGAATCAAAGGCAGTAATCAGTGCGATCTATGTCACCATAAGTTCCCCACATCAGGGCTGTTGCAATATTTTAAGTGGATTTCATTGCTGGTGATTTAAAAAACACATAAATGGCCGGGCGTGGTGGCTCATGCCTGTAATCCCAGCACTTTGGGAGGCCGAGGCGGGCAGATCACGAGCTCAGGAGATCGAGACCACCCTGGCTAACACAGTGAAACTCCATCTCTACTAAAAATACAAAAAATTAGCTGGGCATGGTGGCGGGTGCCTGTAGTCCCAGCTACTTGGGAGGCTGAGGAAGGAGAATGGCGTGAACCCGGGAGGCGGAGCTTTCAGTGAGCAGAGATCACGCCACTGCACTCCAGCCTAGGTGACTGAGCAAAACTCCGTCTCAAAAAAAAAAAAAAAAAACACACACACATAAACACATCTCCTGTGGTCTGCATGTGGCAATGGGGAGATCAAGAACAGGGACAGGTCTCTGCTGACATTTATTTCTCAGTACACCACAGGTGCCTCCCTACCAGAGACCTGCTTTCCTGGCATAGATATGTGTGTCTCTGCCGCCAGAGATAATTTTTTCTGCCATCGATAGCATTTTATATATGTGACAATCACTTACACGAGGAGTTATTTATGTGGCACTTTGCAAAGTGCTTTAAAAATACAATTGCTATTCAGTTATTCCTTACCAATCCCTTGTCAGGCAGGCCATGTCTCCACATCAAGCTTTAGAGCATCCTGAGGCATAATGCTTCGTGCTTACGTCCCACCAGAAGTTGCAAGTAGGAATGTGGGTTGCCACCCCAGGGCTGCCCACAGGCTCTGGGTATCTCTATTTGTGCTGGAAGCTTTCTCTGCAGGAGTCATTTCCAATTCAAATGAGGGATTTGCAGGGAATGGAAGGGCCCAGAAGTCAGGTAGCTGGTGTTTGGTCAGGGCATAGTGCTTAGGACACCCCAAGGCCCTCCCCACCTGTGCCCAGAGTCCAGGAGAGCTGTGGGGCAGAACGGCTGGTCCCTATGAACAATGATTTTCCTGAAGACATTCTTCCAGAATGGTCTATGGGGCTATTGTTCTCATTTAGATACTCACTGACTACCCAGAACCCAGACAACAATGGGTCCTGTCCAGCCCCTCCCAGGAGTAGGCATGAGGGAGGTAGGGAGGGTGTCCCTGGTCCTTGAGGGCCAGCTTTGCTCCTGACACGTGGTTGAGCCTGGGAACAGGCCCAGGGGCCCCCATGAGGGCAGGCCAGGGTGGGATTGGAAGGAAGTGGTAGGAGGCATGAGCCCCAGCCCTTACAGCAGCAGTTGCCATCTTCCCCGTGGCTCTGGGACTTGGCCTCTCTATGGGGACAAAGAACAGATGGCTCTGAGCAAGCAGGAGAGGGAGGAGCTGTGCATCCTCAGAGGGCTCAGCCCCACTGGCCAGGGTGGCCACACTCCCGTGTGGGGAATCCCGGGAGGGGGTCCCCTGCCTGCCTGGTCTGCCTGAGCTGACAGCCTCTGAGTTGGGTGGAGAGAGAGGATAGTGTCCACACAGTGAGGATGCCCAGCCAGCTGCAGCCCCCAGGAGCCCCGAGGCAGTGTGGGGAGGTGGCGGGGGAGGGAAGCTGGGCAGAGACTTCCCGTTCCAAGATGCACCACCCCTGCACGCCTCATCTTGTCTGATGCTCACAGCAGCCCTGTGCAGCCAACGTTATTAACTCCATTTTACAGATGAAGAAACCAATATTCAAAGTGGTTATCAACTTGTCCAATATGATACAACTAATTAGGAGTGGAGAGTGGGCTCATTAGCTTCTCCAATGAGCCAAAATACCTGTGTGTCTCCCTCTGGGGCTTCAGTTTCCTCAGGTATTAAATGAGTATCTTTTGTATTTCTTCCGGCTCCAGTGGCATGTGGCTTCCTGGGAGGCACCCGGCATTCACCTCAAAATTATCTGTGGCAAAGCCCCTTTCTGATTTCCGTGCTTGATGTGATCTCTAGTGAAGCCTTTACCTTTTCTCTGGTTTCCTGGAAGAAGCTGAGTGTACAGACAGAATGCTGGTAAGAGGCCACGGGGCCACTGAGATCAGTGAGTTTTTGTCACAACTGCAAGTTGAAGAGGCTGTGACATTTCAGTGAGTCCCCAGCTACATCTTGAGGAAAAGGGAGTGTCCTGGCCCACAGGTCCCTGCTGGGGATGGGGCTATCCAAACGTCTGATAAAGTTTGTCTCTGAACTACTGTTCTCTTCTCTTGAAAGCCATTTGGTTTTAGCTCCTCTAAAGGGCCCTGTGTGAAGCACCTGTTTTAACTCAAGAGTGTTCTCCTCAATTTCCTTGGGAACATGAACAAGACCCTTCTATTTCCAGATCCGAGGTCAAGACTAGCAAAGGCTCTCATCTGTGTGGGGACAGCTTTGCTCCTGGCAGTGGCTCTTCTCCTGCAAGGGTCTTCAGGTTTCCACTGCCAGGAAAGTCAGTCTCTTGAATGACTTGAGAACAAGATAACAACAAAACCTGGAAAAGGCTCCCTTACTTGTGGTATGGGTTTGCCTGACCAGCCACCTCCTGGACAAGAGGTGGGCAAAGGGGGACTGGCTCTTGGTGCCTGTGTAGGAGGCTTCTATATCAAAATTGGAAATACCCATTAGGAAATTGAGATTGATTGAGTGAGCACTGGTTTGCACTGGCTCTTGGATGTTTTATTTCTTAGCTTGTGTTTGCTGAGCACCTGCTGTGCCAGAGCCTTGGCCTATGGCTTTAGAAGAGGGCAGGGTCTGGGTGTTGTGGCAGATATGTTTGGTTTCTGAACCAACAGTGTTTCTAAATCTCCTTCTTCCTTTGTGGCTGAGAACGTCACTCTCAAGATAGAAGCAGCTGCAAATGCCATTTCACTTTCCAGGCTTTCTCAAAGCTGTGGAGTGCATGTCAAACCCAACGTTGACTAAGGAACCAGCAAGGGAAGCCTTCTAGAGAACTACTAGGGAGGATTTTCTCTCTGGCAACAAAAGAAATGTAAAAGAGAGGCTGTCCTCCCTTCCTTCTGATGGGCTTGTGTGAGAACCAGTGGTCAGCGGCCATCCAGCTACCTTGAGGGGACCAGATGACACTGAGGATGGCAGAGTGCAAAGAGGGGAGGCAGCAGGTGCCTGACAACTTCATCACACAGAATTAACCAAGCCTAGAACTTCCTGTTTCCAGACAGCTCGACCTGTGAGATAATAAATGTCCTTATTGTTTAAGCCATTTCAGTTGAAATATTCTGTACTCGCAGCCAAAAGCATCCTAGGTGATACACACAGAAAACAGAGTCTTCCCACGCAGGAGATTAACACCCAGGGGAGACAGGAAATGCACCCATCAGGCATCTGAAGAGCATTTACCAACCCATGTTGTCCCCATAATTTACAGCTGGGTCTTATTTTAGAAAAGAGATGCATTCATAGAAACAGTGTGTGATACAAATTATAATTCTCAATTAATTTCATAAATGTTTCTGAGATGTGGTTTCTACAGTCTTAATTGATCTTTAACAATAGCTCCTAACACTTTGGAGTTTCTTTCTTCTGGTTTGACAAGTGGTAAATAGCTGGAAATCCCTACCATTAAAGTAAAATTATTTTGTAAACAAGGTATCCTTTTTACCAAATGAGTATTCATTCTTTAATTTACCCTTCTGGTAATTTCAGATTTTGGAAATAAGGGTCCTCAGGAAAGCCTCATCTGAATACCAGGCTCTGTGACCATGTTTATTATTCTCAAAGACCAGAGAAGGGTAAAGCATGTAATTGTGTCTGCACCTTATTATTCCAAGTGTTTATTGTAGCCTTAGCTGTGATTGGTGTAATGAGATGATAAAATGGTGCTTGTGGCTGAAACTCCTGGATAATACATCATTCAAAGGAAGAGGGAGATTTTTTGCAGAATTTACCATGGAGCTCTCCACAATCCCATCACATACATCTCAAACCCCTCATCCTTAGTGAGGACCTCAAAGGCTTTGGAGTTGAAAATTAGGAAGTGGATTTTCAGAGAGAGTCCTGGTGAGCCCCGTGGGGGATTGGTTCACCTCCTCCGCCTCTCTCCTGTTCAGAAGCCTGTTCCCGGATTCCCTTGTTTGCAGAGTGTTGAGTATGGTTTAATTCTGCCAACAAGTGCCTTGAAGCTAGATTAGGAAGCCGGAGTGGAGGCTGAGCCATTCTTCCTCTTCCAGCATAGTGGCAGGTGTATTAACTCTGGCCAGCATGAGTTCTTCCAGTGTATTTTTTTCCCAGCCACTCTTTTGCCTCAGGGCTGCTGAGCAGCTGTAAACATCAGCAGCAGTTTCTGAAGTTTTTTGACTCCCAATTGCAAAGTTAGAGGGGACAGCCTGCCTGACTGCCCTCACTCTGACACCAATCGCAAATTCAGGAGGTTCCAAAAACTCCTGAAATTATTTTCTAGAAGTCCCCACAGAACTCATGGAAAGCTGTTAGACACCCAGTTATGATTTATTACAGGAAAAGGATACAGATTAAAATTGATCAACAGAAGAATCCAGAAATATTCCAAATGCAGAGCTTCTGTTCTCCTCTTCCCAAGGTCAGGATGCATTAGTCTTCTGGCATCGATGCATGACAATATCCATGGAGTATTGCCAACCTGAGAAAGTTCTACTGTTTCATCTTTATAAATTAAAGTGACAAGCTGGGTGTGTGCCTGTAGTCCCAGCTACTAGGGAGGCAGAGATGAGCCCAGGAATTCGAGGCTGTAGTGAGCCATGATTGTGCCACTGCACTTCAGCCTGGGTGACAGAGATAGACTCTGTGTCTAAAAATTAAACAAAACAAGTGGGTTCTATTTTCCTATATGATAAGGCATGGGAAGTACATCCTTCTTCTCCTCAAGTCAAGATGGAAAAATTTGAAACAGATCATCCGGAAAGTTCAATATGGTTTCCCTGCAGTTTGGGGGACACATTTGACCAGGGTCTGAGTCTCCTTGAAGCACAAGTTTTTGCTGCACCGGGATCGGCCTGTACTCCAGGGGTCCGCCAGGTCAAATGATGTGGAACCTTGGGCTCTGTGTGAGAGAAGGTCAGTGTGGTTTCATCTTAGGTCCTGTCCAAGGGGGTCCCCTGGAGGGGCAAACAGATCTCAGCTGCAGGGAGCTGGAGTAATTGCTGATGCCTAAGAGGCTGGGGAAAGAGTGAAGAATAAATCCAATGGATATGCTTTCATTTACATCAAGGGATCTGATGGCATGAGACCTCCAGCTTTAGGGTGTCTCCAGAAAAGCCATGAAAATGCATATGAGACAAAAAGTCTCCTTAGCTTCAGAGGGAGTCAATTGAGTCATAGTTTGTTGTTGTTGGTTTTTGAGACAGGGCCTTTCTCTTTCCCCCAGGCTAGAGAGCAGTGGTGCAATCATGGCTCACCACGGCCTTGACCTCCTGGGCTCAAGCAATCCTCCTGCCTCAGCCACCTGAGTACCTGGGATACCAGTGCGCATCATCACACTTGGCTTTTTTATTTTTTGTAGAGATGGGATCTCACCATGTTGCCCAGGCTGGTCGCGAACTTCTGAGTTCACGCGATCCTCCTGCCTCAGCCTCCCAAAGTGCTGAGATTACAGGTGTGAGCCACTGCACCCAGTGAGTCATAGATCCTTTGGGTTATAAGACACTTATCAGCCAGCTATTGCCATAGTAATTTTGCTTAACAAACTACTGAAAACTTAGCAACCTAAAACAATAAAGCATTTATTTCTGACTCCTCTGTCTGCAGGTTGGCTGGGTTCGGCTGCTCCAGTTTAGCTGGGCTTGAGTGTAGACTGTGGGTTGGGTACAAGTCCATGCATCTCTCATCCTCTTTGTGGTGGTGGACACCCAGGGCATGTTCTTTCCATGGTGAAAGACAGGCATACAAGATGGCAAGCCCAACCACTCCCATTGGCCTAAGTAAGTAACACAGGCAAGCCAAGAGGCAAGATGTGGTAAGGTGCACCCTGCTCACCCTAAAGCCATGCCAAGCATGGATGGCTAATACTGTAAGAGGGGAGTACAGATTTGGGGCCAGTCATTCGATTGACTTCAGTACCATTTAAAATTTTAAATCCAAACTTAAAGATAAATCATCCCCTTTCTGTGATCTGGGTTCTCAGCCAAGCAGGAGGGAGTGCTGGGGCTGCCACTGGGGACTGATAGTCACTGGGGACACTGGGACACTAGACTTGGCACCAAGAGTTCCTAGCCTCACCCTGCTGAGTGAGCCAGAAGAAAAGTGATGTGAGACACCTGAATGCTCTGGGCTGGGACTCTGGCCTGCAAAATGAGAGGGCCTCAGCCTATCCCACTGAAACTATTGCTGGGAAGGTCCCACGGGCAGGCTGACCTCATGAGTTCATGACCTGTGAACAGAGGAAGCTCTGGGCTTGGTTTAATGCTCTGGTGTTGCTGACTTGGGATTCTGAATAGTTTTTAGACAACAGGGTCCCACATTTTCATTTTGTACCAGTCTCCAAATTTTATGTAGTTGGACCTGCCCATGGGAGTGCAGTTTTCCTGAAGATTTACTCATGTAATCAGTAAATCCAGCCCCAGAGGTCTGCTGCTCACTGTCACCTCATTCATTCTGCAATACTAATGAAGATTACAGCCACCATTTATCCAGTGTTCACTAGGGGCCAGGCACTGTGCTAATTAGGGCTTTACAAACAGCATTCTAAACCTCTACATTAGTCCATTTTGTGTCGCTATAAAGGAATACCTGAGGCTGAGTAATTTATAAAGAAAAGAAATTTAATTGGCTCATGGTTCTGCAGGCTGTACAGGGAGCATGGTGCCAGCATCTGCTCAGCTTCTGGTGAGGCCTCAGGGAGCTTTTACTCATAGCAGAAGAGGAAGTGGGAGAAGGCACATCACATGGTGAGAGAGGGTGCAAGAAGTGGGGGCAACATGCCACACACACACTTTTAAACAACCAGTGACATGGTTTGGCTGTGTCCCCACCCAAATCTCATCTCGAACTGTAATCTGAATTGTTACCCCCATGTGTTGAGGGAGGGACCTGACGGGAGGTGATTGGATCATGGGGGCAATTTCCCCCATGCCGTTCTTGTGATAGTGAGTGAGTTCTCAGGAGATCTGATCGTTTTAAAGTGTTTGGCATTCCACCCCCCGCCGCCTTGTGAAGAAGGTGCTTGTTTCTCCTTCCCCTTCTGCCATGATTGTAAGTTTCCTGAGGCCTTCCCAGCCATGTGGAACTGTGAGTCAATTAAACCTCTTTTCCTTATAAATTATCCAGTCTCAGGTAGTATCTTTAGAGCAGTGTGAAAACGGACTAATACAACTAGATCTCATGTGAACTCAGACCAAGAACTCACTCATTATCATGGGGACAGCATGGAGCCACTCATGGGGGATCTGCCCCCATGACCCAAAGGCCATGATACCTCCCCCCAGGCCCCATCTAACATTAAGGATTACATTTCAACATGAAATTTGGAGGGGACAAATATTTAAACCATATCAACCTCACATCAACCTGCACGCTTTTCAGATAATGAGACAGCTTCACTGTTAACACGTAGCCTACCCAATAGCACACAGCCAGGATATGAATCCAATTTTGTTTCCCTCCCAAGCTTTCCAGTAGACAATTTTGCTACTATATGCTAGGAACTGTGTGTACATCTGGGAATGAAGAGCACAGTCCCTGCCCTCAAAGGGTTAGCATCCTGCTAACAATATTAGCAAACACGTGCATGGCACTTCCTGTGTGTCAGACCCTGTTCTCAGCAATTTACATACATTAATTCACTTAATCCATGCATTACCAACCCATTGTAGTAGGTACTAATATTGGCTTAAGTAACTTGGCCACAGTCACGTGGCTGAAGGGCAGCAGGGTCAGGCTTCAAGCCCAGGGTCTAGAGCCCCACAGCTTAAGCACTTGCTGTACCAACTCTCCCATGGGCTGCTATGGTTACTTTGGCCCAGTGAGTCTTCTGCGTGCTTTGGTGATGAGGATAAGAAAGCAAATGAACTATTGAGCTTTTCCCAGGAGTTCCTACACTGGATTCTGGGGACTCGGATTCTGGAGATCAGCTGAGAACAGGACACAGCCCCTGCCCTCATGGAGCTCACCCTGCAGAGGGAGAGGCAGATGAAGAGAGTGTGAGAGCTATGAAGTGGCCCTCGTGGGGCTTTCAGTGAGTCCTGAGGGGTGGAAGTGAGCCTAAACTCAAGAGCGGGGAGGGAAGGTTGCCTGGGGAATCTGAAAGGGTGAGAAGGAATTAGCCAGGCAGGGGGCAGGGAAGGAGCAGTGTGGACAGGGATGAGTGTTTGGGGGGATGAACTTTCTTCAGAATGGCTGGAGGGAATGCCTGAGGGGCCCTGGCACCAGATGACTGGAGAGTTTATATCTTATCTGGAAGAAACTAGAGCCTTAGAAAGGTACCCTGGAAAGGTGGGATCTGCCTTTTGGAATGCTCACCGTGAGAGTGGAACAGAGACTGAATTGAAGGTGAGACAGGGAGCAGAGAGGCTGGGGCGGAGACCCAGATGTGACAGGTGGGGGCCCGAGGTAGGGGGTGACCCAGGGTGCAGATACTACTGGGTTCATTCTATGACACGAGTTAGCAGGCTCTGTGCACTCAGCTGAGGGAAGCTGCCATGTGACTGAGATCCCGAGCCGTCTGCTCCAAACATGTTCGCTGCTCTTTCTTGTGTCTAAGTCCAAGGGGATTTATTTTCTCACCTCTCTTCTCAGCAGATGGTCTGAGTATACTGCTCACTTTCAAGAGACAATTTCTGCATCCAACTGGATCCTGGGTCTGTTGGTGCTATTTGTTCCTCCCCAGGAAAACTAGACCTGAGGAAGAACACAGCTGGGTAGAGCTGGCTCCATGACCCACGTGTGACAGGGTACTCAGTTCGAGGGTGTGCCACTTGGCCCCCATGTATCCCCACAAAACACCTACCTCATACCAGGGCCGTGCTCGCAGAATGAAGTTCATTTTAATAGTGACCTAACAAAGGCAGCTGTGAATGGAGATTATAAAACCATTGCCAACACATTCCAGAGAGCAAGGCCTATGGTTTTGGTGTGAGTCCTGACTACTGCCTCCCATCTCGGCACAGGTAACTGAGAGCAGATGGGCATATCTTTACTGTTGCTTAGGGAGTTAGGGTATACTTGGAATGAGAAACCAAACTTGGCTTAGGAGAGCCTGCAGATTAGAATGGGCTGAGGAAGGGAATGAAAGCAGAGGCCAGGTGACAGGAGGGAGGAGAGGGCTGGAGCAGAGGAGAGGGGTGGGGAACCCTGAATGGAAGCCCCAGCCTTTAGCTCCATGCGGAGGTTTTGAGGCTGGACAAACACGTTCAGAGGAGGGAAGGGGTCCTCTCTAAATAGTCCTAGAAACCCAGAAGGCCCTGGAGTTGAGCTCTTTGAGAAAGATGACACCCCATGATAAAATCCCCCATGCAGATCTGTGTTGCTGGCTGGGCCTAAGACGGAGACAACTCCAGAGAGTTTCTGGGCTGGAGTTTAAAGTGGGCTGTGAGCTAACCCTCCTGGATGTGGCAGAAGCCCTCTCTTTCCCCAAATCTCTGACCATCCCTAGCTCCCAGGCACCATCTCCAGACATCTCCATGCAGAGAAAGGGTGCCCTCCTTCACATGGCAGTAGGCTGGTCTCTTCCCTGCCTCCTGTGCCGGTACCCAAGGCCCCTGGTGGCTGGGGGCTGTCTCTCCTTCCAGATGGCGTGCTTCTCAGCCTGGGAGCAGGAGACAGAGACAAAGGGGAAGGGGAGACAGACACAACTGAAATCATTTTCCCTCTGCTTCTGTACATTTCTTCCTTTGGATAAAGATTGAGGCAAAGTCAATGAAATGCAAAAGTCAGTATGGTTGGGTCGAGAAATTAAACAGAAAATCAGACTATGCAAGCATTATGTTTCTTGTAGGAATATTAATTCAAGTTAGTGGTGGTATTTGGGTCGGGTAGTGGGTCTGATAATTTGGAGCCCTGCAAGATTGCTTATTCATAGTGCAATCTCCATCATTTCCTATCTCAGGCATTTATATAACAGTTTCTGAGTCTTCTCGCCCAGGTCACTATTGTAAATGAGAAGTTATTCCCAAAGGATCTTATCTAGTACAATAAATGGATAAAATTATTGAATTTATTAACATCTAAATTAAAAAGTCTGAAAAATTGAGTTCTAATTAATCAGTTTGCAAACAGCTACCCCCAAGGATAACAGACCCTTTAGCAACGGCTCATGATTTGAGACGTATTATTTTTTTAAACAATAATAATATTTTCACAGCAGCTCATATCCGAGGAGTTCAAAGCCGTTCCACAAATGTTAATTATTTAAAGACTTTCTGAAACTGAAGCAGATAATTACTATTTTCTCGGGCCCTGTAATGAGGAAATGGTGCTGAGAGGGAAGGGTGAGTGCCTTTGCCCAAGGTTGTAGTCCGGCTTGTCAGAAAGAGAGAGGAGCAGGACACAGGCAGTTGTCTGACCTTGGTCCTGCTCTGGCCTCGAGCCCTCTGGTTTTTGGTGCCTGCTTGGAACTCCATGACAAGCCTCCTTCCAACCCATCGATCCCCATCCTCCATCTTCTTCCCAGCACAGCTCTGTCTTCACACTTGGGACCCTGTCTTGGGACGGTGCCGTCTCGGACTGTACCACCACCGCTGAGCCTGGAGCCTGCCTTGTGTTCCCCAGCCTCCCAGGGACTTGTCCCTGCCCCCCAGGTCCCCTGGTACTGCAGCAGGTGGGGATCCCAGGAGCCCAGGTGAGCTGGCCCCTGCATGGTCTCTTACCTGCCAGGAAACCTGCCAAGAGTCCTGGGCTGGCTTGCAGCCTCTTCCCACAGGCCCAGAGCCTCCCAGTCTCTGACCATCTCTGGCTTACGTGACTGGTCTTCAGAGAGGCTTCCCCTCTCTGCTCCAGCCTAGCTTATCATCTCTAGGGGCTGACATCCTGGTCTTCTGGGCTGCCTTCCCGGGGCCAGGTTCTTCCCTGCAACGGCACAGGGGCAGGACTCTCACCTCTCTTGAGGTTTGCCAAGAGCTGGAGGTGCCTCCCTGACAGTCAGGGAGAGACGGGAGTGTAAGGCTGGAGATCTCACTGTCTTCCCTGCTTTGGAGCTGACTAGTGAAATCATCACACAGGGCCCTCAGTCATTCACACACGCGAGAGGCCAGCCAGCGCTGAGAGGTCCACCTTGTACCTTCCCTGAAGCATGGCAGGGAAGCTGTACTCCCTATAAATAATGGGTCACAGAGCACTTTCATACTGGATACATACCTCTGTTCACTGGCACCCAGGCCCTGGGAGGTAGGAAGAGGCAGGCAAGATTAATCCTATTTTATAAATAGAGAAGGGAAAAATTTTTTTGAGTAATATTGTGTTGGATAGTTGTTTTATATATACTGTCTTACTGAGTTCTTTCAACATTAGTTTTACTCTTCTATTTTTTTTTTTTTTTGAGACGGAGTCTTGCTCTGTCGACAGGCTGGAGTGCAGTGGTGCAGTCTCGGCTTACTGCAACGACAGGCTGGAGTGCAGTGGCGTGGTCTCGGCTTACTGCTAACTCAACCTCCTGAGTTCAAGCGATTCTTGCGCCTCAGCCTCCTGAGTAGCTGGGATTACAGGCACGCACCACCACACCCAGCTAATTTTTTGTATTTTTATTAGTGACGAGGTTTCACCATGTTGGCCAGGATGGTCTCTACTTCCTAACCTCATGATCCACCTGCCTTGGCCTTTGAAAGTGCTGGGATTACAGGTGTGAGCCACTGCGCCTGGCCCTTTTTTTTTTTTTTTTTAAATAAGAAAACTTAACCTGTGCTCAGAGGTTAAGAAATCTGGCCAACCTCACACAGCTAGTAAATGAAAAGCCAAGATTTGAGCCTAGACTGTCTTCCTCCAAACCTAGGCCCTCCCTGGTGCCTTCCATAGATGGGGTGTCCTGAGACCTTAGAAAGGGCAAATAGGTCTCTCATAGTATCAAGTCAATGAATCATGGAGAGTGGGTGTGGTGGCTCACACCTATAACCCCAGTGCTTTGGGAGGCTGAGGTGGGAAGATCACTTGAGGCCAGGAATTTGAGACCAACCTGTGCAAAACAGCGAGACCCTGTCTCTACAAAAATTAAAAACAAACAAACAAAAAATAGCCTGGCATGATACTGCATACCTGTAGTCCTAGCTACTTGGGAGGCTGAGGCAGGGTGGCGGGGGCAGGGGGTCCCTTGAGCCCAGGAGTTCGAGGCTGCAGTGAGCTGTTATTGCGCCATGGCACTCCAGCCTGGGCAAAAGAGTGAGACCCTGTCTCTATTTAGAGAAAAAAAAAAAAAAAAGGATTGAAGACAAGAAGCCCAGGGCCTTGAGGGCCAACTCAGCCTTCTGTCCTCTACCGACTCCTGAGGGTGAGGTAGGAACCCATATGAAGATGGCTGATGGTCGCCATGTAATCCAGTGAATGGTGGGTGGGGTGGTTCAGGAGCAACTTCAAGGGAGGCTCCTTTAAGCCCTGTCTGGGTGGTGGTTCTGGCCCCTGGGGGAATGAGAGACCCTAGCCTCCTACCTGTGCAGGTGCAGAAGGACAGAACTTTCTGGGGCTTGCTCAGCCTTTATCACTAGTCATCAACTTCCTGCAGTGGGAGTAATCAGGCTCCTGCTCTATTTGCTGTGAACTAATTAACTCTCCTCCCCTGGAGCCGTTCCCAGAGCCCTTCGTCATCTAAAGGGCTACAGCTCTGCATTGGGGGTTGTGCCCACAGTGGGAGGACATGACGCATGAGCAATCACAGTGATTTCCTCCTCCAGATGAGTTGGAGAAGGCACTGGGGCCCAGGCCCACTCAGGGCCACAGACCTCTGCTTCAGGGATCGGACTGTGCAAGATGGGGATTGAAAGGACTTCCTATTTCTGCTGATCACACATGCTTTCTTAGTGCCCATTCATCCTCTCCTTCAGTCACTTACTTGCTGTGTGAACTTGATGCATTACTTGACTGTGTCTTAGTTTCCTCATCTTTAAAATGGGAATTCTGTTAGCACGACCTCAGAGGGTTGTTGTGGTGGTTAAATGGGATGATGTGTTGCACTGTTTAGACAGTGCCTGGCACATAATCAATGGTCAGTGAAAGTTAGCAATCATGGATATTATTATTGTCAATATTATTAACAACCTCTCAGAACTTCCATTTCCTCAGCTGTAAAACATGGACACCCCTACGCACAGGGCTGTTGAGGAAGTGAGATATGATGTAAGTAAGGCACCTAGAAGAGCATTTGGCCAAAGCTGAGTAGATAGAATGGCTTTCATTATTTTCATTCGTTCAGGTGCATTCATTAACTGCTTGTTTAAAATCTTGGGGACACAGAAGTAAGACAAGGTCTCTGGAGACAGGGCAGTAACTGTATCTATCACCTGAAGCATGTTCTGTGAAGCAAAGGATGGTTTATACTGCATCCGCAGATACTTTTTAATTCTGCAGATGAATAGGGCCTTGTACCAGGCATAGACCAAGATGGAAATCCCTCTAATGTGGGGTGTGCCCTTTAATTTATAAGTCATTTTCTTATCTATTTTCACATTTGACTTTTACATTAACCCAAGTAGTATGTAGACATAATTACCTCCACTTTATCAATAAGGAAACCATGGCCCGAGACACAGAGTCATTTCCATTTAGTCTGAGTTGAGGGTGGCTATTACCAGCATCACTTTGTGGGGGGTTTTTTGGTTTGTTTTTGTTTTTTTGGGACAAGGTCTTGCTCTGTCACCCAGGCTGGCGTGCAGTGGCACAATCTCAGCTCACTGCAACCTCTGCCTCCAGGGCTCAAGCGATCCTCCCACCTTAGCCTCCTGAGTAGCTGGGACTATAGGCGTGCACCACCACACGAGGCTAATGTTTGTATTTTTTGTAGAGATGGGTTTTTGTCATGTTGCCCAGGCTGGTGTCAAACTCCTGAGCTCAAGGAATCTGTCCACCTTGGCTTTCCGAAGTGCTGGGATTACAGGCGTGAGCCACCACACCCAGCCCATTTTGTTATCTATAAAAATATTATGCACCCTACCCCACCCTCCAGCTGGGAGGCAGAACCACCGCGAGTTGCCTGTGATGGGCAGGGGAAGGGAGAGAAAGGGCTCTGATTCATTCATTCATTCATTCATTCATTCATTCATTCATTCTTTCAACAACTAATTGTTGAGGACTAATATGTTGCAAGCTCTCTGAGGTGCCCTGGGCCAGCTGGTGTCTCTCAAGCAGTTCCAGGCATGAGAAATAAGGCTGGGGCTTAAATTTGCTGATAGAAAGAACTAGGCAGGTAGAAGTTTGTGTTTGGGGGCTTTCAAAATTTCCATCTTCCTCCTGAGGGACCTGGGCCCCCTCTATGCCCAATGAGTCACATATTCCTTCACCGAGAAAGGAACCACAGTAGACTTTTTTTAATAAAAATGAGTGGTATAATGACTTTCAGGCCAGGCACAGTGCTTAATTACACCTGCAATCCCAGCACTTTCAGAGGTGGAGGCAGGAGGATCACTTGAGACCAGGAGTTCAAGACTAGCCCGGGTGGCAAAGTGAGACTTTGTTTCTAAGGAAAAAAAAAAAGAACAAAATTAGCTGGGCATGGTGGCATATGCCTGTAGTCTCAGTTACTTGGGAGGCTGAATCAGGATGATTGCTTGAGCCTGGGAGGTTAAGGCTGCAGCGAGCCTTGATAGTGCCACTACACTATAGCCTGGGTGACAGAGCAAGATCCTGTCTCTAAAATATGTATATATTACACACACATACACACAAAATGGCTTTCATTATTTTCTACCAAATATCAACAGAGGGAGGTGTGTGGGTTAAGATGGGGTGATAGAGGGCAGGCTGATAGGAAAAAGGGGCCATCTGTGGACACATGTGATGCTGACAGAAGAGATCTCACTTGATCCCAACTCTGGGCCTTCACTCCAGCCCCTTCCCCATTCCCCTGAAAGCCCTTCCTCCTTTTCGTCCGCCTAAATGCTTTCCTTTCAACTTGGCATCCTTCAATAAAATAAAGAAAGAAAGAAATGCCTTCCTTCCCCCCTTGGTTAACACTCACCTCTCTCCCTCATGTGACTTCTTAGACTTATCTTACCCATACTTGATCTTTCCTTTCTCTGAAATTTTATTTCAGTTGGACTCAGGGATACCCCCTCTAAGTTGATTGCCTTTGAACGGGTCACGGTCTACAGCTCATATTTCCCCAGGTTACAAGCTCCTTGTGGGCAGGGCCATGTCCTAAACCCTGTGATATGCTCACAGCATCGAACTGTGAAGAATCTCATCTTCATTCCCAGGAGCCTGACCTAATGCAGGCCCTCTTTGTCTCTTCCCTGGGCCAGGGCAGCGCTGGCTCCTGGCACATCACTTAGCAGAAAGCACACCTGCGGTCCCACCTCCCTGCTTTTCAAATCCTCCCTCAGCTCCTCTCTCCTGCAGACTGACATTCAAGCACGTCTTCTGACTGCCAGGCCTCTCACTGGCCACGGCCCCCATCAAGCACCAGGTGCCCAAAAAAGCAGGCACATTGGCGCCTCTCTGTCCAGCACATTCCTGTCTTTCTAGAAACATACTACTAATCTTTTGAGGTGAAGCAAAAATGTCACATTGTCATTTCAGAGCGCATGCCCCAGGCAGAGTTAATTCCCTCCTTCACATTGATTCCACAGCACATTTTTGGTTTTTTTTTTTTTTTTTTTTTTTGAGATGGAGTCTCAGTCTGTTGCCCAGGCTGGAGTACAGTGGCACGATCTTGGCTCACTGCAACCTCCATCTCCCAGGTTCAAGCCATCCTCCTGTCTCAGCCCCCACTAGTAGCTGGGATTATAGGCACGCACCACCATGCCTAGCTAATTTTTGTATTTTTAGCAGAGACGGGGTTTCGCCATGTTGGCCAGACTTGTCTTGGACTTCTGATCTCTGGTCATCCACCCGCCTCGGCCTCCCAAAATGCTGGGATTACAGGCGTGAGCCACCGCGTCTGGCCACGTTTCCTGTTTTTAAAGCAGCCCATTTCTAGGCTCATTGGAAGGGGTCATGGAGCTCCGTGTCCCGGCTAAGTAGGTCCTCTGGGAGCATCAGTCCCATGACCCCCCAGTCCTTCCCTACTTTGGCACTGAACCCCACTAAAGTCTCTTTATAGCTCTTGCCCCTCAGCCTGCCCTCACCATTTTACTATTTGCATCAAGTCTTCACCTTACAGAGATGCTGCCAAGACAAATGAGATAATATGTAAAAGTGCCTTAAGCTCCAGAAGATGGACTGTGTTATCATGGCTGTAAAACTCTCTACTGGGGAAGTCAAGCTTGATGACAGTGAATCGGAAAGGGCAAGATGAAGGAAGAGGAGGAGGAGAAGGAGGAGTAGGAGGGAAAGGAGGAGGAGGAGAGGGAGGAGGGAAAGGAAAAGGAGGAGGGGGAGGAGGGGAAGGAGGAGAAGGGGGAGGAGGAAGCGGAGGAGGGAGAGGAGGAGGAGGGAGAGTCAGCATGAGCAGAAGGGCTGAACTGACCAAACCAAGACTCTTCTGCCAAACTCATCAACCAGAGGAGTCTTCTTCTGGGGGTGAGAGGGTGGTGGGCAGAGTGGGACCAGGGACCTGGCACGGGGTAGGATGCTCCCGGCCAACAGAAGGTCCATTGCCACCCGTTGGATGACTTGGCCAGCTAGCACTTGAAATCCCCCCTGTGGAAGTACAACTGACAAATGTAAGCAGCTAGGCCTCTTTAATGGGGCTCCTGGAGGACAGAGCCTGTTCCAAGAAGCATGGGTGGTGGGCGTGTTTACCTGAAGGCAGTGTTCCCTGGTTTCTCTGGAAACCACATGCCTTAGAAACAAAGGAGCTCGCACACAGCATGATTCATGGCCACCGTTTGTTCCTGTCTGCCCCTCCTGCCGTGGCTCCACTCATGGAGGGTGCCAAGGATATGCTCTTGGTTGCATGAGTAACTTGTTTTCCCCTCCAAGAGAGCTTTCATTTTCTCCCAGTCAGACTTAGTCATTACTTATTTGGTGAATTCTTAAGTGGGTGACTGAGTGGACCGTCGAGGCCTTGGAGGAGGGGGCTCGTTCTTCCTTGCAGCTTGCACAGCTGGGAGCAGGACCCTGGAAAAATGAGAGGAGGGCGCAGAGTGCATATGAGAGGCCTTTGTGGATTTTTCTCCTGACATGAGCACCCACTTCGTGCCCCCAACTCCCTTCTAATGCTCTTGTTGAGAAGCTCCCAGCAATTTCTTCAATTCAGCCAGGGACCGCCTCCTCTGGGAAGCTTTCTCAGATAACCCTGATGCCCCCTGCCCATCATTCCCCCCAATCCCCAGTTCCCGTGACACAGGATTGGTGTATCTGTCAGCCTTCCCCGCAGGATCCAGGGAGGGCAGGAACTCTCACTCCTCTTTGTATCCCCGGGGCCTGGTGCAGACCTGGAAATGCCTGTTTGTTGGCTGACTGTCAGAGCCCAGGCAGGCACAGGCCTTGTTTGGAAACCTGGGAGGGGTGGCAGGGTCCCTAACCCCTCTGGGTGCCCAGGGCTGGTCCTGGCTCTCCACTGCTTCCCACTTCCCTGCCAGCCTTTACAGACCCTTTGCCCTGCACCTCACACCCCTCTGAAAGGGTGGCAAGCCTGGTCCCAGTGGCTGCTTCAGATGCTACTCTTGAGGGCTCCTTGAGCCATGCCCTTTTGGGCCACTGTACAGTCACACATCACAGCCACCTTGTCTTTGGCAGATTATGTTCTTTTTTTTTTTTCCCTCTCTTTAATCATAGTAAAATACACATAACACAAAATTGACCATCTTAACCATTTTTAAGCGTACAGTTCACTTGTACTGATTATATTCACATTGTTGTCCAATCATGACCTCCCTTCATTTCCAGAACTTTTTCATTTTTACTAAAGTGAAACCCATTAAACCCCAATTCCCTGTTTCCCCTCCCTCCAGCCCCTGGCAACCACTGTGGTACTTTCTGTCACTATGAATTTGTGGCTACTTCTTTTAATGGTGCAAAAGTACTTAAGCACAGTGTGAGCCTGGGTCAGGGTACAGACCACCCGTACTACCTGGAGACTCCTTGGTACCAAGCCCTGTTCTGCTTAAGATGTGAGCTTGATTTTGACACTTCTCTTGTGGATGGCAGAGCCCAGAGTGGAACCCAGGTTCATTTCATTCTAAAGCCATGTCCAAAACTCCAAAGAACCAATCTTGAGTAGGGGTTGTATTAGTCTGTTTGTGTTGCTATAAAGGAATACCTAAGGCTGGGTAATTTTTAAACAAGATAGTTTTATTTGGCTCACAGTTCTGCAGGCTGCACAGGCATGGCTTCAGCATCTGCTTGGCTTCTGGTGAAGCCTCAGAAAGCTTTTACTCATGGTGAAGACAAAGGGGGAGCAGGTGTGGCATATGGTGAGAGAGGGAGCAAGAGCAGGGAGGAGGTGCCAGGCTCTTTAAACAACTAGCTCTTGCCTAAACTAATAGAGTGATAACTCACTCATTATTGAGAAGAGGGCACCAAGACATAGAACGAAGAGTCCAAGCACCTCCCATGAGGCCCCACCTCTATCATTTCAACATGAGGCCCAGGGAGAACAAGTGGCTGGCCCTCGGACATACTTTCTGTAAGTGGTAGAGGCAGGATCCTGACCCTGCCTGTCTCATCCCAGTTACCGGCTTACCCCAGTCTTAACAACACTAAAGGCATTTCAGGAACCTTGTCAGAAGAGAGCAGGGGGCTTGGGGCAAGCTGTGACTTTAGAAAGTTGTGAGCTTTGGAGTCCCTTAAACCACTCATACTTGATGGCTTATTCATGAGACCAGTTGTGTCCATGGACACCCAGGTTTCACATTTTTCTTTCCTCCTTGCTGAGGGTTTACATTCATTCATTACAAATGAATGTTGAGAGTGAACTCTCCCAGGGGTGGTGTAGTTAATACCGTTACAGCCTGAGGCCACTAGGGTCTCCATTCAGCCTTGCCTCTTGGAGGAATGATAACCGTACTAGCTCACTTTTACTAAGCACCTTCCATATGCCAGGCACTGGTTGACCCATGTAATTGCATCTAATCTTCACAATTGTCTTAGGTTGGCTTTTTTAGAAGCAGATTTGAGATGAAGATTCTCATGCAGGTGGCCTGCTGAGTGAGTGAGTGAGTGAGTGAGTGAGTGAGTGAGTGAGTGAGTGAGTGAGTGAGTGAATGCTAACAGGAGAAATTGACATGAAAGTGAGGGAAGCCAGAAAGAACTCGTGAGGAGGCCAGGCACAGAGGAGCCCCGTCTGGAGTCTCGCCTCAGCCCCACCCGACCGGGCAACCTGCAGCCTGGGTGATACCTCGGGGTTGCCCTGCCTTGAGGCAAGGGCTTTGGTTCCTCTTATCAGTCAGTGGGTGGGAGGGTGGGGTGGGTGGGCAGGGTGTAGGGCTGGGGGTTTAGCTTCTTAGGAATCCCTAGGTGAGTCGGCTTAAGGGGGCAAAGGCAATTTTCCAGAGAAGGGTGCAGCTGAGGGCTGTTAGCAGCCCAGACTGAGAAAGGGTGTCTTGGTGGGCCTTCACTGGCATCTTTTAGAACATTCTTCTGAGATATGATCTAATACTATCTCCGCATTATAGAGGAAGACTGAGGCCCAGGGAGGGCAAGTACCTGGCCCTAGGACATACTTTCTGTAAATGTTAGAGGCGGGATCCTGACCCTCCCTGTCTCACCCCAGTCACCAGCTTACCCCAGTCTTACCCCAGGCTCACCCCAGTCACCAGCTCCTACACTGCTAGAGACAGGAGGCTTCATTCAAGGAGCTGTGGCTGATTCTGGGAGTCCTTCTGTCTTGCCTGGCTCCAGCTTTTTGCACTGCATTAGTAGCGGATAAACCCGCAAATCCCCAGGGCCTAACACAATACGAGTTTCTTTTTTGTTCACATGAAAGTCCAATTAGCGGTAGGGGAGGAGGTGGTGTCCTACAGTCAGGGGTCTGCCCTCCTCCCAGCACACCCCCATGGAAGCCCTGGGTATTAATATCCAGCTGGCAGGTGAGGCAAATTAGAGCGTGGAGGACTGTGCAGGAAGCTCTAAGGGCCAAACAAGGAAGTGAGGAACACCACTTCTACCTTCATTCCATAGTTCAGAACCCGGTCACTGCTTTCTCTGAGACGCAAAGGGGACTTGGAAATGTGGACCCCAGCCAGGCAGCCTCAACCCTGCAGAGTGGAGGGAGATCCTCAAACAGATGGTCCATAGCTCTCAACTTGGCTTCATTTTGGCCTCCCAACTTGGCCCCACTTCTGAAGCAGCATCATTGTCTGGGGCAATATCTGAGGTTTGTCTTCTCATGCCAAGAGACGTCGTCTCTTGCAAGAGAGAGGGGCGCAGGAATGGGACTTCTGGCTGGCAGAAGAGTGCACCGGATTTTATAGACAGGCTTGAGGAAGCAGTGTCTGATTTACATGGGGCCCACAGATTGGTTGGACCAGGTGTGACTTTACATATCCTGTGGTGAAGCTGGCCACCCCACCCTAATCTTATTATGCAAATGGTCTTTCCACTTGGCTGGCGCCATGTTGTCTGCTCCTCATTGTACATGTGGCTGGCAAAGAGAAGGGACGATGGAGCTAGCCTCAGGTAGCCCCTTTCCTACTGGCACAACTGCCGGCATTCATGGGTGCAAGCTTCTAACTTGCTTGTCTGTGTCTGCAGCTCGATTATACTGGCTGCTCTTTGTTAGAAAAGAAAATGATTTGGGGGCTGCTTTTCATTAAAAGAAAAACCTTACTGAGGACTTCCTTACCCTCACTACCTGCCTCAATAATTTCTTTGTAACTCCTTTATCACTTCCTTGGTCCTGGGTGGTCAGCTTGGGCTGACATTGTCATTCCTTATCTCTAGCCCCGTCCCCAAGCAGCTGAGTGTTCTTTTACTAGCCATTGCCTGGGGTGTATCTTCAGGGCTGTTCTCAGGGTGGCACCTGGTCCCTGGAGCATTGTTTTTGTCCATTCCTGGTAGGTGGGTGGGGTGTGGGTGAGGGCGAGGCTGCTGGGGGCCGGGAAGCCTGGCTGACTTCAGCATCAGCACTTTTTTTTTTTTTTTTTTTTTTTGAGACCGAGTCTCGCTCTGTCGCCCAGGCTGGAGTGCAGTGGCGCGATCTCGGCTCACTGCAAGCTCCGCCTCCCAGGTTCACGTCATTCTCCTGCCTCAGCCTCCCGAGTAGCTGGGACTACAGGCGCCCGCTACCACGCCCGGCTAATTTTTTGTATTTTTAGTAGAGACGGGGTTTCACCGTGTTAGCCAGGATGGTCTCGATCTCCTGACCTCGTGATCCGCCTGCCTCGGCCTCCCAAAGTGCTGGGATTACAGGCGTGAGCCACCGCGCCCGGCCAGCATCAGCACTTTTTCGAGGAAGCCAAGTCAGACCCAGACAGAATGAAGATTTGGGGAAGGATTCTAACATCCTAACACTAAACAGAGTCCGCATCTCAGTAATCCAATGGAAGTCCTTGGACCTACTTAGTGCCTCTAAACGCATGTCCTAAGCCAGGCCCAGGTGATACAGAGGTTAGAGCCCCCACAGTGGAACTCACGGTCCAGTAGGAGAGACAGGAATGACCATCCACAGTGATATCACAGCACAAGCAGCCTCATCACGGGAGGAGACCCCTGGGGCAGTGGGAGCCCCTACCTGAGGCTGGAGGAGTCTGGGATGGCTTCCCAGAGGAGGTGAGGCCAAGGCCCATATTGAAGGCTGACCAGGAGCTGTCCAGTGAGATTTTGAGGGCAGGGTGGGTAGTGGGTGGGTGCCTGTTGAGCACAGGGAATGGATAGGATCAACAGTTGCATGGCTGGGTGATGGAGGAGAAAGAAGCAGGCCGCTCATGGGAGGCCTCGAAGGCTATTCTGGATGTAGGCTTTCTCCTGAGGGCTGTGGGGAATCACTGAAGGATTGCTCAGGAAGAAACCTACCCAAGTCTGTGTTCTGACTGTCAGGTGGAGGATGGTGAGGAGGGTGCTGCATTACTTTACGTGAGAAATAAGGACCTGAATTTAGGCAGTGGCTGTAGGGACAGAGTGCAGGGGGTGGACTGCAGAGACATTTAGGGTAGAATGGGTGAGGAGGGAGGAGTGGTGGTGACCCCCAGTTTTCTGGCTTGGGGGCTGGTAAATGGGGCCATTCACTGAAAGGGACAAAGGCCATAAATCCTGGGGTGGCAGGGAGGCACTCAGTGCAGCGGGGAAGACACTGGGACGCAGCGCCAAGGCCTAGCTTCTAGTCCCCGGTTTCTCTTTAGAAGCCAAATGGCCTTAGGTGAGCCATTAAGCTTTCAGTGCCTCAGTTTACTCACCTGCAAAATGGCACCCATATCTGCCTTCCCCCAGGGAAATGTGAGGATCAAATAAAATATGTGAGTGAGAGCGTCTTGAAAACCACAAGGAGTTCATGAATATAGGGAGTTAATGCAAAGAGAAGTGGTCACAGGAGAGGCCACAGTTCCGACAGCCAAGAAGTCGCTGGAGATCCCTGGCTTGGGGCACCATCTGAGATACACCTGAGCCAGCCCTGGTCTCAGAGCTCCCCAAAGAACCTTCCGGCGTGCTGAGGCCTGAGCACAGAGGCCTCACTGGGATATGGATCACTGGAACCATCCTACTGTTATTGCTGCTTGCAGGCACGTCCCATGTGGTACTTCTGGGTGGGAGGTGGGATGACCTTTTCTCTAATAGCCTCCATGGGCTTTGCAGGCCCCAGTGGCTTGTCAATTAGTGGGTTCTGAAGGCAGCAATGTTGCAGCCTCCGCAATGAGCTGCAGCCCTCTGGCTGCCCGGAGAAACTTGCAGGGCTCAGCCAAGGGCTCTGGGACCACGACCCTCTGGATTTAGATTTCCTTGAGCACATTCCTCCCTTGCCTTTGAGAAGCGTCTGTTTGCAGAGGCCTGTAGCTCCCCGTCCTTTGCTCTACAAAAAATGTTGAGCAAACATTTAGGGAATAAGGGCTTTATAATGATGAGAGTCAACATTGAAGAATACCAGCTATTATAAGACATAAGTGTTTAAAAAAACAAGAAAAGGAAAAATAAATGGAAATATTCTGCTTTCCCTGAGCAGGCCAGTGTGTGGAAGAAGGGTAGAGGTTCAGGCTTTCTCACGCCTTCTTATTTTGGGCCATAGCGCCAAGACTCAGGCCTGCAAGGCTCTTGAAGAGCCCCAGTGCCCAGGGTGTTTTCAGTTCAAATGAGGATGTTATCTGCCTGGAATCCTAGAAAAGTAGGACGGATAGAACACCAAGACCAGAGAAGACAGCTCTGCTGAGCTCTAAATGGTGTGGCGCTTCAGGCTGCACACACGCTGAGAAAGAGATAAAGAGAGAAGGTCCAGGAGAAGGAGACAGGGTCACACTCGGGCAGCCTCCTGAGACTACACCATGCAATCCAAAGTCTGGTAAGATGGGAAGTATTGGCCAGGTGCTCAGCACTTTGGGAGGCCGAGGCAGAAAGATCACTTGTGCCCAGGAGTTCGAGACCAACCTGAGCAACATGGCGAGACCTCATCTCTACAAAAAATACAAGAATTAGTCAGGCATAATGGGTGCACGCCTGTAGTCCCACTTAGGAGGCTGAGGCAGGAGGATTGCTTGAGTCCAAGAGTTGGAGGCTTCAGACAGCTATGATGGCACCATTGCACTCCAGCCTGGGTGGCAGCATGAGACCCTATCTGGAAATCCAACGATGTGAAGCATCGCCCTCCAGGAAGAGATCTTTACTCCTCTCCTCCTCAATGCACATATACGTCCCTAACTCCCTACGCGCTGAGCTAAAGGAAGGGCCTGCTGAGAGCTCCATGTCTGGCAGGCCATTTAGTCACCCCTTAGCTTTATGGAGGTACAATGGATATACAAAAAAACTACACATAATTAATGTATACAATTTGGGGAGTGTATATGTACACACTTATGCTACCCATGCCACAATCAAGATAATAAACATAGCTATTACCTCCAGAAGTTTCCCTGGGTTCCTTTTTTTTCAGTGTGTGCTAAGAGCCCTTGTCATGAGATCCCCTTTTCTGTTGTTGTTGTTGTTGTTTTTTTTTTTTTTTTGAGATGGAGTCTTGCTCTGTCGCCCAGGCTGGAGTGCAGTGGTGCAATCTTGGCTCACTGCAAGCTCCGCCTCCTGGGTTCATGCCATTCTCCTGCCTCAGCCTCCCGAGTAGCTGGGACTACAGGCGCCCGCCACCACGCCCTGCTAATTTTTTTGTATTTTTAGTAGAGACAGGGTTTCACCGTGTTAGCCAGGATGGTCTCGATCTCCTGACCTCATGATCCGCCTGCCTCGGCCTCCCAAAGTGCTGGGATTATAGGTGTGAGCCACCACACCCAGCCCGAGATCCCCTTTTGTAATGCATTTTTAGGTGCAAAATACGGCAGTCCCTCCTTATCTGCCATATTGCTTTCTGTGGTTTCAGTTACCCACGGTCAACTGTAGTCTGAAAATATTAAATGGAAAATTCCAGAGATAAACAGTTCATACATTTTAAATTGTGCACCCTTTCATCATCCTTCTGAGTAGCATGATGATGTCTCTTATCATCTGCTCCGTCCCACCTGGGACACAAATCATTGCTTTGTACGCTGTCTACACCATCCACCCTTTAGTCACTTAGTAGCTGTCTCGGTTGTGAGATCGCCTGTCTTGGTATCACAGTGCTTGTGTTCAAACAACCCTCATTTTACTTCATAAAGTCCCCAAAGTGCAAGAGTAGTGATGCTGGCATATTGTTATACTTGTTCTATTTTGTTATTATTTTTGTTAATCTCTTACTGTGCCTAACTTACAAACTAAACTTTGTAATACATACAGATGTATAGCAGAAAACATAATATATATATAGGGTTCAGTACTATTTGCAATTTCAGGGACCCACTGAGTGTCTCAGAACATATTCCCCACAAATAAGGGGAGATACTCTACCTTACTGTTAACTATAGGTGCTATACTGTACAGCAGACCCCTGGAACTTACTCGTCTTGTATAATTATAACTTCATACCCATTGAACGACAACTCCTGACAACCCCTCCTTCTGCTCGGTTTTTCTCCTAGAATCTTGCCCCACCTCTGTCTGGTTGCAGAAGATAGGAGTTTGACAGCTAGGGGTGCATCCTCGTCCTGACTCTTTCTGGCCGTCAGCCCAGTCACTTACTGTCTCAGAGCTTTAGTAACTTCCTTACCTGCAAGTGGTTTCACAAAGGACCTACTGCATAGGTTGTTGTGAAGAATAGATGAACCGGATCACGGACAGGCTTGGCCTGGGGCATAAGACATGCTCAGTAAGTGCCAGCCACTCTTAGGCCCCTTCTCTCTCCCTGCCCCAGGCCAGGAGCTCCAGGCTGAGAGCCAGCGGTGGCCTCATCGCTGAGGTACACTTTCTCGGAATGTGGGCTTGCCAGGATCGCCCCAAAGCGAGCCTCCCTGGGCTCCAAATTTGGTTTGGCCCCCTTCCAAACTGCTTTCCTAGCACCCCATAAGATTCAGAAATGTTAATGACTTCCAGGGAGTCTCTTTACCTCCCACAGGAAGCCACTGTCACTTTGTAGAATGGCTTTAGAAAAGATGGGTTTCATTAAATTTCAGAGCTGGGGCCAGTCGCAGTGGCTCACGCCTGTAATCCCAGCACTCTGTGAGGCCGAGGCGGGTGGATCACCTGAGGTCGGGAGTTTGAGACCAGCCTGACCAACATGGAGAAACCCTCTGTCTACTAAAAATACAAAATTAGCCGGGCGTGGTGGCACATGCCTGTAATCCCAGCTACTCAGGAGGCTGAGGCAGGAGAATCGCTTGAACCCAGGAGGTAGAGGTGGCAATGAGTTAGGATCACACCATTGCACTCCAGCCTGGGCAACAAGAGCAAAACTCCATCTAAAAAAAAAAAAAAATTCAGAGCTGGAAGGGACCTTTAGAAACCATTTGCCGCACCACAGGCCTCTCCAGCAGGAACTGGCTCCAGACGGGACAATCAGCCTCGGAAGGGGAGCAAGTGTGCTGTGTAATAGAGATGCTACATCCAGAAAAGAGAGAGAGAAGGATGTCATGCCTGGTGACATTTACTCTCCAGGAAGGTTTGATGAAATTTTGCTGGGTGTAGACTTTGAATTAGCTAAAGGTGTTGGAAATTTGGGGGCTGTTGTTTCTCGTTGGGTTCCTTGGGCAGTTGAGCTTGAGAAAGCTGGGCATAGAGGTGGAGGTTTCATGATGGAACTGTTTAGGGAACTTTTTAAAAACCCACATCCTCCCCCTATCCCCTACCAGGGTATCTCAGAGCCTTCACTCGGGGGAGCGTGTGCTGTGAAAAAGCTTCCAGGTGATTCTGATACACATCTTTGCCTCTGGCCAAGAGGCACAGGCCTAGGCTGAGGAACAGAGAATAAGCAGCCTGCACTAATGACATCACAGCATGGCCCTGGCTGATAGACCAGGATGTGGGAAAAGGAGACCCCACATTTTTGTCATTTATAGTTGACCCATTCTTTTCACAGATGTCCCTTCACTTGATGTCCAAGTTTACACTCAGATAGTCAAGGCTGGCCTATCTCCATTTTGCAAATGGGAAAGTTTAGGCCCCGTTAGGATGAGTACATCCTGCAAAAAGGGAAGAGCCAGAGGAGGAACCCAGCTCTTCTGAGCCAAATAGCAGCAGTCTCAATCCTGGGTATATTGAGGGTGTGACCAGTGGCACTGTGGCCATTTACAAGTGGAGGTGGGGAGACTTTAACATGTGCTTTTAAAAAGCATTTCTTTGACCCCTTTGTCAAACTCACATGAAAAGCCCCCAGTTTCTTTGATGTCATTGGAGCCAGGCTCTCATAGTTCTCTTAGATCGTCTCTGAGCGGGCAGCCTCCAAAATAGTCATGGAGCGAGGGGAGTTTCTCAACTCTCCTGGCAGGGGCTGAGCGGTGAGATGATGTCCACACGCATTATTCTTTGGTTTGATGGCAGCCCAGGAGTCTAGTAGGAAATAATTAAAGCCAGCTCCCAACTGGGGTTTAGGCACAGATGATGGCCTGGGTTTCCCCAAGTCAGATGGTTTGGAAAGAACACATATGACTCCTGTGGGGAGGTGGCAGTGAGTGAGGCAAAGATCTGATGAGTGGAGCAGTCTAGGCAGCAAGGCGTGGTGCTGGAGGGAACTGTGGCCCACATTCCAGGTACGGTGGGAGGCTGGCCTGGCTATCCTTACTGCGCCCTCCCATGGTGCCTGGAGCCAGGAGGCCAAGGGCTGGGGCATCAAGGTGAGAGCTGTCCCTCCTTAACCAATACTCCTTCTGAAGGAGCTGGTCATGAGAAGGGGACAGAACTTGTCTGCAGGCCAGAGGTGGGGCAGGAGGTGGTGAGGTTGGCAGACTGGAGGCAGTCTGAAACTGCCTGGTCACTGGGCACACATAGGCCTGGTTAGACTCCCATGGGCATCTGAGTATAGGAGTTTTGGACAGAAGACAGAGGCAGCAGCTTTCTTATCTGTGAGCCCTTCTACTCCCCTGCCCACCCTGCCTGGGTCTTCTAGAGGCAATGACTCGACTCTACACCTCCCGAGAAAACACTGGAATCTCTGCTGATCAAATAGTGATATTGGTCAGTGCTACAGATATGACATTGATAGACACCAGTGTGAAGCCTGCCCACATGTGAGTTACATTCGTTTTGGGAAGGATTTGTTGCAAACTCAGGCCATTTCTGTTGGAGGGACCTTGTTCGTCTCCATAGGCGGATGAAGCCTGGGGGAATGGGGGCTGCAGACAAGGAAGCTGGCGCCCTGCTTGGGAAGTGATTTGCCGAAGCCCACTGTAGTGAATGTTGGGGAGCACCCTTCAGATGCCCCACCCTGGACTGAGGATCTCATCTCCCAGTCACTGGGAATGTTGCCTCCTGCTGGCTCGCAGCTGAGTCCTTTCTGGGAATTGCCCTCAGCCAAAGAGAGTCCCAGCCAGACCATGTTCCCTTCCTGGAATAGCCAGACTCACTCACCCAACGAAGATGGTCCAACAACACTGCCCAATAACCTCCCTGCCCGCTAAGCTCTATCTCAGAGCCCGCTTCCCAGGAGCCTGAGCCAGGCAGCTCCCAGCCTGTGGGCTTTACATCACTGCATGCTTCCTACATAGGAGGAGAGACAGTGAACAGAGCCAGGACCCTGCTGCCAACCTCAGAACACTTAGATTTGAGCCATGCCCTGAGCACTCTTTCAAAGCCTTGGAGATGTGTACAAAAAATGGAAGAAGCCCCTGGAGAGAGAGTGCTGCAGTTACCAGGAGCCTGTTTGCTGTGTGTCCTCCGCCCCATGGGCGGCTTGTGAAAAAATAGAGACAGCAGAGTCTAGTCTAATATGCAGACATGTTGGCTTTTTATTTACCCAGATGTCCGGTGGCATTGCAGGAACAAGCCATAGTAGGCCTTACTTCTAGCCAGAGAGCAAGTTTTGCAAAGATTTGTTTATTGTTCAGCCCTTTGTAGTAGTTAGAGTTCTCTGGAGAAACAGAGTCAATAAGATGTTGATAGGAGGGGAGATTTACTGTTTTGTTTTGTTTTTTTGTTTTTTTTTTTTTTTGAGATGGAGTTTTGCTCTTGTTGACCAGGTTGGAGTAGAATGGTGTGATCTTGGCTCACCACAACCGCTGCCTCCTGGGTTCAAGCGATTCTCCTGCCTCAGCCCCCCGAGTAGCTGGGATTACGGGCATGTGCCACCACACCTGGCTAATTTTGTATTTTTAGTAGAAACGGGGTTTCTCCATGTTGGTCAGGCTGGTCTCAAACTCCCCATCTCAGGTGATTTGCTTTAAGGAATGGCTTCCGTGATAGTAGAGGCAGCTGGTAAGTCCAAAATTTGCAGCGTGGGTCTGCAGGCTGGAGACCCAGGGAAGAATTGATGTTGCAGCCATAAGACAATGTGCTGGTGGTATTTATTCTTCCCCGGGAGAGGTCAATCTTTGTTCTCTTAAGGGCTTCATTGGATTGAATGAGACCCACCCAGAGGCCAATCTGCTTTGCTCAAAGCCTACTGATCTCACCTAAAAATGCCTTCCTGACAACATGCAGATGTGTTCGGCCAACTATGTGAGGGCCGCCAAGGTGATGCAAAACATTAACCATCACACCTTCCACATTGTAAAATCTCAATTCATTTCAGTCCTGGGAGGCTTCTGCTCTCATTGCCTTAACCAACCACATGCTCCAGAGCCTGCTGAGGTGGCATCATTCTCAACTGGGCATGAATGTCGGCCCTCAGGGATCCTTCTGGGGCTTTACCTTTTCTTGTGCATGGTGCACATTTTTTGATCTATCGCATTTCTATTTACCAGGGGCTTGCAAGCTTATTCTATGAAGGGCCAGAGTAACGATTTTAGGATATGCACGCCACGTGTATCTCCGTTGTACCTTCTTCTTTGTTTTGGAATCCTTTGAAAATATAAAAACCATCTTAGCTTGCTGCTCATACAAAAACAGGCCAAGGGCTGGATTGGCCGGCAAGCTGCAATTTGCCAGTACTTGATTTAAACTCCTAATATTCCAGGTGCATCTGGATGCTTGACATTCCTGGGCCACTTCAAATTGCTAAGTGCCCTCCTCCAAACACTCCTGAAGCCCATTTGTTCAATAGAAACCTAAATAACACAGACACTGTGAGGACAACTGGAAGAGAAGAGCCTCTCTTTCCCAAGCTCTATTACCAAAGTTCCCCCAAAAGATGTTTCAGAAGCTTGTTTTGAGAGGAGGAAAACTGCAGACCACGGGGAAGGCGTCTCCATCGTGAAAGCTTTATGCTGGGAGAACAAAGGGTGAAGAACACAGACCATCAGCCTCCCCCGCCCTGTGGTTTCCCAGGACAGTCTCTTCCAATTCTGTTTCATGCTTAAGGTCCCCAACAGAGAGAACTACCCTGTGTGGTCCCCCAGGCTGGGAGGAAGGGAGCGGTCTGACTGTGACAGATGTCTCTGGCTGACAGCACACTCTCCTGGAGCCTGGGGCCTGGGAAGGTGCCTGCTAGGTGGGCTGGAGCCACAGGCAGCTAGCCAGGCCCCTCAGCCCCACAGAGAGCCTTCCAGGACCAGAGACATGGATTATTAAACCTAGATTTTTGGTGCGTGTGTAGAGAGTGAGGGGTGGCAAGGATGAGGGTTTTTACAAACCACCAGTGAATCAACTTAATTACATGATCCTTTATGAAAATGCGAACTCTTACCCTGGCGGATGATATTTTAGCATGTGTGGGCTCCTCCCTGAATGAGAGTTCATTGAGAATGGAAATAGCTCCATTCATTGCTCCCCTAGGGTTGTATTTGATCTCTGGTTTTAAAGAAGCCCTTTCTCATAACTTGAACTTTTCATTCTTGGGATTCCTTTCCTTCCCTCTGTCTCTCCCTCCCTCTCTCCTTTCTTCCCTCCCTCCTTTCCTTCCTTTATTCATCAATGATATGGTTTGGCTTTGTGTCCCCACCCAAATCTCATCTTGAATTGTAATCCCCATAAAACCCACATGTGAAGGGTGGGACCAGGAGGAGTAAGTGAATCACGAGGGCAGTTGTTTCCCCCATGCTGTTCTCATGATAGTGAGTTCTCCCTAGATCTGATGGTTTTATAAGGGGCTCTTCTCCCTCTGCTCGGCACTTCTTCCTGCCACCTTGTGAAGAAGGTGCCTTGCTTCCCCTTTGCCTTCTGCCATGATTGTAAGTTTCCTGAGACCTCCCCAGCCATGTGGCACTGAGTCAATTAAACCTCTTTCCTTTATAAATTACCCAGTCTTTGGCAGTTCTTTATAGCAGTGTGAAAATAGACTAATACAGCCCCTTTCATCATCTGTCATGTACCTGTTATTGCAGGTGTTGTGAGTGAGAGATAAGGTATTATACCTACCCTCAGGTAGCTCAGGGGAGGGCTTCCGTGAAGCAAATATGGAAGGATCTCTGTTCATTTGTGGTCTTCTCTTTCTCACCTAAAGTATTGTGCCTGTGATATTAATGGGAGAATGCAAATGTACCAAGCACTGGATTAGCTTGGGGACCCCTTCTGGATGAAAGCTGTTGCTACAGGTGGCATCTGTCCCTACACCTGCTCCCCTTTGTTCTGAGAGGATCCATCTTTGGAGCACCAGGCTGTGCAGGCTAGCTGCCTTTCTCCTCACAGGGCTGGGCAGAGCTCAGCAGACAAGGGATCACCTGTCAAAGAGTCTCCACCCCACGGCTGAAGATTGTGACCATGTGGCAAACTCCAGCCCTAAAGGGACCCGTCAGAGTGAGGTGCCCCAGAACAGAAGATCAGAAACAGACACAGAGACTGCCAAATACAGAGGGCAATATCTCTCGGAGGTTAGAACAAGAATAATTCCCCAAGTCCTTTCCAGAAAATGTAATCATATAGTTCAGAAAAATGCACTGTGTGTTTTAGTAGAAGAACACATATTTTGTCCTAAGTTTGCCTTTAGATTTGATTAAAAGTATATGGTTACAGCTGCTGCTGTTGGGATCAATTAGAATCAAGCCTGTAAATGACTTTCTTCCACAGGGACTGTTCCAAGTCTGCTTGAGGTCCCAGAACTGTCCCCTGGGAAACCTGGGGAGTACGTGTGAGGACTTCTTTTTCTTTCTAAATGCCAGCATTGGACTGATTATTCTAGAGTTTGTACTTCATTCCTAATTAATATAAAAATAAGGTTTTCAGAATCATCCAATTTTATTACTTTTTCTTTGTGAAGTAGAACATTTAAACAGGATCCTCTTATGGTAAATCATTCAGATCCAGCTAAAGTTCAGGAGAATAATAATAGGTGCTCTGAAAATCATGGAGTGTGTCTTCAGAATTTGCCGCACACAGCACTATTTTAATTTCTGAGTTAATACAGGTTCTAACTCATGATAATAATGACTTTATGAAGACAGTCTCTGGATAACAAAGCTATTTTCATCCTTTACTGAATGGTTCAGAAACCATACTGCTTTAATCTGTTTTTAATATACTTTTTTTGGCTCTCTGACGTCTTGAAAAATGTTTTATGATTCAGGAAAGTAAGCCATGTTTGCATGGTGGAAAGGAAGACAGAAATGGCATTGCCATTTATTCACTTACTCGTCTCATTTATGTCTTCAATTTTTTAAATCAGTGAAATCATAATAATAACAATACTTTCCTTATAAGGCTGTTGGAGGCTTAGGGCACCTGCCATGCAAAAGATGAAATCTCAGTTTCCATCTTCTAGCTTCTTTGTTTCCTCTCCTTCCTCCTCAGTAACTAATAAACAAATGCTATATGCTAGAGATTTTACTATATAAAGGATATCTAATTTTAAGGAAAATTCCAAGTAAAATAGCAGAAATTATAATATAGGATGAAAAATGTTACAATATAAACATAGTGGGAGATCCTCAATATTCCTCCCTTCTCCCTTTTTCTTCTTTTTCTGCTCCCAAAAAGAGATCTTGGCATTTCCTTGGTTTTTCTTAGTGGAGTAAGTCCTTTTTGAGGCACTAAACGGAGCCTCTTTCACACCTGAAAAGGGATGGGGGTGTTGGGTTCCCAGGAGAGGATCTGGATCTCTGTGTTGAAGAGGGAGAGTGACTTCATCTTTGGAGAAAAAGGTGTCTTTAGACCCTTTGCATTCGGAGGCTGTTGGACCCCTGGCAATACTTAGGGTGACCACATTTCCAGGAAAGCTGTTGTCCTCTGTGTCCCAAGGCTGGAAGAGGAAAGTTGCCCCACTTCCTGTGTGATGGGTGTTTAGGGAAGGCAGGACATGAAGGCACAGAGGTGGAGGCCTGAGAGACTCCGTGGAGGCTCCTAGGACTGCTGTCCTTAGGGGGATGCCTGGGTGTGGGCCTGAAGGAGGTGAGTACCAGAGCCCTGAGAACTGAGGGAGCCACGGAGCACTATGTGGGCACACTCCTCCCTTGGAGATCAAGGAAGCCTGTACCTGGGCAGCAGTCAGCACTGTCTTAGACTCAGAGGACCAGCGTCAACGGCAGCTGACAGCAAAAAGCAGGGAGGGATACAGGGAGTACCAGGAGAGAGATTTTGGACTTCTCATTCCTCTGGCATGTAGGTCTGAGCTGGCTTTATTTTTCATTTGTAAAAAATAGAATAGATATGACTTTACTTGAGGTCTGAATTTGCAGAGCAGTTCACACTGGTTACCTAAGCATATGCAGCAGGGCTGTGGGGCTTGTTGTAGGGGACTCTCCCCTCCTGCCACTGTCGTGTCTTCCTCAGACATTCATTCATTCATTCACTCAACAAACTATATGTCACAGTTGTTGTCTCAGCTCACTTCTTGTTCTGGAAGCTTCCATGGTTCCCCGTGATCCACTGCAGTAAGGACAACCCTCTGCAGTCTGGCCCACACCTACCCTCATCTTTCAAGTCTAACCTCTCACTCCTTCACATGTACACTTCCTAGTCAGAATATAGACAGACTCTTCCCAGATGTCCACACATGCCCTGGGCTGTCCTGCCTCATGCCCCTGCTAGTGCCTTTCTTCTGCTTGGAATGGCCCTGGGCCCCAGCACCATCACTCACTGTCTCCTCCAACCCCCTCCAAAGCCCAGTTGTTCAACAAGAATCTAAATGACAGAGACCCTGTGAGGACACCGGAAGAGAAGGGCCTCCCTCTCCCAAGCTCTAATGACCAAAGCTCCCCGGAAAGATGTCTCAGAAGCTTGTTTTGAGCGAAGAAAAACTGCAGATGATGGGGAAGGCATCTCCATCGTGAAAGCTTTATGCTAGGAGAACAAAGGGTGAAGAGAGACCACTAGAAGAACACAGACCGTCAGCCTTCCTCCCTCAGTGGGTTTCTCAGCACAGCCTCCTCCAATACTGTTTCATGCTTAGGGTCCCCAACAGAGAGAACTACCCTGAGTACCCCTGCCAGGCTGAGAGGAGGGGAGCAGTCTGGCTGACAGCTGCCTCTGGCTGACAGCACACTGTCCTGGAGCCTGGGGCCTGGGTCAGTGCCTGCTAGGCGGGCAGCAGTCATAGACAGCCGGCGAGGCCCCTCAGCCCTGCAGAGAGCCTTCCAGGTTCTGAGTCATGGATTATTAAACCTAGCTTTTTGGTGTGTATTTGGGGGGTGGGGTGGGGGTTTTGATAAACCACCTGTGACCCTTGGGTGGTTTTGAATCTCTCTGAGTCTTGAGTATCTCTTTGGAAAAAGAAAAGGATGTCACCAGACAGAGTTGCAGGGAAGTCAGCTTTGTACTTCATATTCCACCGGGGTCAGCTTAAATCCATTCACCATTAGGCTTTCCCTAATTCCCGGCTCCGTGGTTATTAAATCTCTGACTTTGAACACCTGCAGCATTGGGTTTGTAGCTCTCTCACGGCACTCGTAGCTGTAAAGTCAGATAGCTGTAAACTCCTGTAGGCTGGAAATGGCTCTGACAAATCTTTGTATTCCCCTGCCATAGCCAATGGAATGAAGTAGAAATTATTCACACTTGGTTGATTTGAAAGCTCACAATATGAACCAACATTTATGGAAGCTTTTTTTCTACGTGGCAGGCAAGCATTTTGCACAGGCTTTTCTCATGTTGTTCTCACAAGGAGACCTCATGGGGCGGGTACTTTGATGAGCCCCGATGACATCTTGGAGAGGTGAAGTAACTTGCCCGAAGTCATTCAAGCAAGCAAGAGGTGCCCTCAGGACTCAGCCCAGGCAGTCTAATAGCAGTCCACCCTCTCAACTTCCGGTGCTGTATGTCTGCTAGTTCATAAGCATGTGATGGTTTCACAACATCTGAAACCCCACCCCAAAAGAGGATTCAGAAGGTTGTTTTGAGAGAAGGAAAATTGCAGACAACAGGGAAGACTTCTCCATCATGAAAGCTTTAAGTTAGGAGAAAAAGGGAGACGAAAGACCATTGGAAGGATGCAGACCAGCAGCCTCCGTCCCCTTAACTGGCTGAGCTGCTGGTTTGAGCTATCTTCTGCAGCTTACAGAAAATCAAGCTTCTCCCCAAAGAAGAAATGAAGATAACTACCCAAAAGGCCGATGGCTTTACAGCTTGGCAGACATTGGAATCCCCTGGAGAACTCTTTTTTTGACACCTGGTGAGGTCTGTGGAGAGAAACCTGCAAGGGAGTGTGAATCTTCCCTTGTTTTTTTTTTTGCCCCTGGAAACCACCATTCAACTTTCTGTCTCTGTGAATTTCACTGTTCTATGTACCTCATGTAAGTAGAATCATATAGTTTTTATCCTTTTGAAACTGGCTTATTTCATTTAGCATAATGTCCTCAAGGTTCATTCATGTTGTAGCATGTATCAGAATCTTCTTCCTTTTCAAGCCTGAGTAATATTCCATTGTATGGATAGACCACATTTTGTTTATCCATTCAGCTCTTGATGGACACTTTGGTTGTTTGCACCTCTTGGCTATTGTGAATAATGCTGCTATAAATATGAGTGTGCAGATATCTGTTTGAATCTCTGCTTAGAATTCTTTTGGGTATATACTCAGAAGTGGAAGTGCTGGATCATTTGATAATTCTATTTTTAATTTTTGAGAAAGTTATACCATTTTCCACAGTGGCTGCATTGGGAGGATTGATTGAGCCCAGGAGTTTGAGGCTGCAGTGAGCTGTGATCGCACCACTGCTCTCCGGCATGGGCAATAGAGTGAGATTCTGTTTCAAAAAAAAAAAAAAAAAAGTAGAGTGACGTAGATAAAACACACTTGTCATTGACGGTGGCATTTAGTAAACATTCAGCAGATGCTACTCTCCTAACTGTTCCCCTTTCTTCACTTAATCTCAGAATCCTGCCTTGATACAAAACAGTATCACATGTGTGCACCTAGGGGAGAAGAAGAAGAGAAACAGCTGGAAACGTGGATCTCATTGGATTACAGAGGGCCTTGAATGCCACATAAGGAATTTGGACTTTCTTCTGTGGATAGCTGCAGTAATGGGTTGAACTGTGTCCCCTCAAAATTCATATGTTGAAATTCTATTCCCCCAGTAATTCAGAATGTGAACTTATTTGGAAATTGGGTCACTGCAGATGTAATTAGTTAAGTTAGGATGAGGTCATGCTGGAGTAGGGTGGGCTCTAATGCAGCACGACTGGTATCCTTATAAAAAGATACTAGCACTGAGAGAGCCAGCGCTGGCCTGGGGGAGCACGGGAGGCAGCAGTGAGAGCTGTGTGTTTGGGAGTCAGGAGGTGACTGAGGCCCCACGGCGAGCGTGCAAGTGTGCGTTTGGTTCTCGGTGTGTTGGGCAGCAGGGGAACCATGGGATCCAACACACATTTTTTTTTTTTTTTTGAGACGGAGTCTCACCCTGTGGCCCAGGCTGGAGTGCAGTGGCACGATCTCAGCTCACTGCAACCTCTGCCTCCCGGTTTCAAGCGATTCTCATGCCTCAGCCTCCAGGTAGCTGGGATTATAGGCACCTGCTACCACGCTGGACTGATTTTTGTATTTTTAGTAGAGACGGGGTTTCACCATGTTGGCCGGGCTGGTCTCAAACTCCTAATATCAGGTGATCCACCCTCCTCAGCCTCCCAAAGTGCTGGGATTACAGGCATGAGCCACCGCCCCCGCCCCCAACACACATTTTGCAAGAGCAAACGCACGGAGGAATGTTCTGTTTGAGTGCACTTGTAGCTGTTGGGCTCTGGGCAAACCGTATGAGCCCTGAGATCCACAAGGAGAGGAGGAGTTCCTGGAAGTGGTGGAGGTGAAGGCATTACAATGAGCTGCCTCCCTTTAGCATCCTCAAGCGGCGTCCCGACCCCTTCAAGTCAAAGGCAGACATGTTCAGGGAGCACCTGCTATGAGCTGCTGCCCAAAGAGGTGGATGGGGTTGTCTCAAAAGGTGAAAAGACACAGGGAGGCCCTGCCCACAGGGCCATCTCCTGTGGGCAGCAGAGGCTTGCTCACAGCAGCTCAGGCAAAGAGCTGTAAGTCTGAAGAGCCAAGGGCGCTCTGTGCAGCAGGAGCTGGAGGGAAGCAGTGTCATTAACATCCCTGCCATTTGTCATCATCAAAAGGTATTTCTTAAGCACCTAATTGAGCCTGATACTGTGCTTGTGTTTTATTTTCAGAGCTTGTAAGGACTAAACAATGTGCAAACAAGCAAATCAAATATCCATATAAGGCAGGTTACTTGTTTCATTAATTTTCCTTTTCTCTCTTCTCTTCTTTCTCTTCTCCCAGTTTCGAACTCTCCAGACCTGGCTAATTACAAATGACGTGTATGCACAAAAGGTTATCATGGAGCTGCGGTTCACCTTCCAGTGATGATCATCCCACAGCCCCAACCCACACCCTCCACCAACACACAATTTTATACACATAGTGCACACATACCCCACACCACAAAATTACCCTCACACACATGCACCACACAGAGCCCAGACCACACATTCCTATACACCACATGCATGCAACGCACATACCAGACACACACATACACCCGACACACTACACACACCACACACACCCCACACCCCACAACACACCACACACACGCAGTCTGCAGGCTGTCTGGAGGCTGCTGCTGCTATCCAGAGAGACGTGGTGAAAAGACTAAGCTTTTAGGGACCATGCAGGCTCAGAAACGGACAAGAGGAAAGAGCTGCGACAAGCAGGTGAGCTGAGAGCCACTCACCAGAACAGAGTTCCAGCAGGGCTGCCTCACGCTAAGGAGACCTTCCCTGGCCCACAGCCAGGTGAGCAAGGCATCTCTTGGCTCCTGCCTCCTCTCCCATGTCACTTCACTCTCGAAGAGGAGAAGGGCTGCCTGCTTGGTCTGATTCTTATGTTAAAGCTGGAGGGAAGTAGGGGGCACGACAAGGGTAAAGAGTGAGCGGGTGAGGGTGCAGGGTGTGGGCACCGCCCTCCGGCCCCTCTCTGAGGCTGGGAGTGTGGAGGGTTCAGCCCCAGGCCCTCTGTCTCCCTGTCATTACCCTCTCACCCCCAAAACATGGGACAAGTGTTGCTGCTCCCTTCTTCCCACGGCTGTGGGGTAAACCCTTCCTCACATAGGAACGGCAGCAGCTGATGTCTGGGTTTGGGAAAGCAGGCAAATTACTCTTTGATCTGCTTGACTTGAGTTTCCCCAGCCCTCCCTTGTTGAGGAGAAAGGAGTCCTCTCTGCATCCCGCCTGGCTCCGGAAGGTCTGCATTGTGATTTGGGGCAAGTTTGACTATTCATTTAAGTGTTGCATTGCCTTATTTTGTCCTCCTTGCCTGGCGACTCTGCCAGAGAGGTCGCCCTGGGCAGGACCTAGGCAGTTGGTTTTCTCAGCTTGTGCTCTCCCTCACTCCCTCACCTCCTCACTCCCTCACCCTCTCACCTCCCCACCCTCTCACCTCCTCACTTCCTTACCCCCACACCTCCTCGCTCCCTCATTCCCTCACCTCCTCACCCTCTTACCTCCTCACTCTCTCACCCCCCCAACCTCCTAACCCCCTCCCCCCCACCTCCTCACCCTCCTACCTCCTCACCTTCTCACCTTCTCGCCCCCTCACCCCCCAACCTCCTCACCTCCCAACCTCCTCACCCCCAACCTCCTCACCCCCCCACCTCCTCACCCTCTCACCTCCTCACCCCCCAACCTCCTCACCTCCCAACCTCCTCACCCCCAACCTCCTCACCCCCAACCTCCTCACCCCCCCACCTCCTCACCCTCTCACCTCCTCACCCTCTCACCTCCTCACCCCCCCACCTCCTCACCCTCTCACCTCCTCACCCCCGCTACCTCCTCACCTCCACCAGAGAGTATGGAGAGTATTGGGGCTGAGCATGGGCAGGTGAGGGAGCGCTTGGGGAATGCACGAGCACCTGCGGGAGATGAAGGACTGACTGGGGCCACTGCGGGGAACGTGGTGACCTTGGGTCACTCCGGGGCCTGGGCAGATTTCTTCTAGTAAGTGGCAGGGAGGGACAGAAGAGGAGGCTGGAAGCCATAGCCTCGTGCCCAGGAAGGAGGAGAACCTCCTCTTCCCCTCCCTTGTCCTCCTCCCCGCACTTTCTCCTACTCCTCCAACTCCATCGCTCTTTTCTCTTCTCTTTCCTTCTTCTCCTTCCCCTCCGCTCCTTCCTCCTCCTATCAATCAAAAATGATACTCCAGGGCCCATTTTTAGGGCAGCCCTCCAGGGATTCCTACACTCTATGAAGGAAGGCAGGCAACAGGCGAGTAAAGTCCATGGGTACCATGGGCACTGGCAGATGCTGCAGGGACAGAATACAGGTCAATGAGGTGGGGGATGGGGAGCCACTTTAGTCAGGGAGCACCACTCGTAGCGGGAGCATTTAGGTGGAGGTGTGGGTGAGGAGGAACAAGCCACCATGTAAAAATCTAGGGGGAGGAACAGCCAGGAGCAGGCTGGAGGGTGTGAAGGAGCTGAGGGACAGAGGGAGGGAGCGAGGGAGGGCCGGGGGGAGCAGGAGGCAAGACTAGGACGGACAGCGAGGAGGGCTGGCAGGCCCCAGGAAGGAGGGCAGGGCATATTCAATCCTAATGAAAACTGAAAGGGAGAGATGTGATTATGCTGCATGAAATATGGATTATCAGCAGGCAAGGGTCGAGGTTGAGAGACCAGGAGTGGTGATGGTGGCTTGTATTGGGATGTAGCAGCGCTGATGATCATGAGAAGTGGTCAGACTTGCGAAAGGCTCTAGAGGTACAGACTATATGACTAACAATGAATTCAGTATGGGTGTGAGGGAAGACAAAAAGGAAGGAAAACTTGAAAACAAGTTTTTCATGTGAGCCACTAAATGGTGTCATTTACTGAGATCAGGACATGTTGTGTGGAGAGTGAGTTTGGTGGAAGGAGGGGTTAGGTGGAGGACCAGCTATTAGATTTTGGCCATCTTGGGTATGAGAGAAGGCATCTGAGAAGGCTGCACATCCTCCAGCCTGCTCTTGGCTGTTCCTCCCCTGAGATTTTTACATTAAGACAGCTGGCCATGCTGATGTGGAGTTCAGGAGAATGCCAGGCTATAAATTGGAGAGTCATTAGCACAGAGTTTAAAGCCACGACCCTGCATGAGCTCACTTGGGAGGAGACTGTGGATAAAGAAGAGGAACAGGCTGAGGACAGAGCTCCGGGGTTTCTCAAGATGTAGAGGCCTGGGGTGGCAGGTAGGGGGTCAAAAAGAAAGCTCAGAATGGCTGGCAATGAGGTAGAAGTTGAGAGTGGTTCTGTGGAAGCAGTAATTGTCAACTCTTGGTGTGTAAAAAACAACCCCCAAACCTCCATGATGTGTGAGGATGAGCGTTTACTTCACTTACCAGTCTGGTTTAGTTGGGCCTTGGCTCATCCATGCTGGCTCCGTTCTGCCGTGCACATCTCTCATTTTTCTCCCGGGACCAGTGGATTCTTCTCATGGTGATGGCAGAGGTGCGAGACAGCAGAGACTTTTCAAGTCTTTAGTCACAGCACACTGGCTAGCCCTCCATTGATCAGAGCAAGTCATACTGCGAAACCAAAGTTAAGGGGAGTGGGAAATAGACGCCCCTCTTTGATAAGAGGAGCTGCAAAGTCACTTGGTGAAAGGTGTGCCTGCAGGGAGGGGTGAAGAACAGCAGCTGTCAGGGCATGTACCAAGTGAGGCAGAGAGGAAATTGTTTCCAGAAGGAAGGCTTGGCCAGTAATGTCAAATGCCTCCAAGAGGTCAGGTAAGATGAGGACAGGAACGTGGGCCAGACGGCCACCATTGGAGACCTTGACGGGGCAGTTAGTTCCAGCAGAGTGCTGGGGATGACACGCTCACTGGAGTCAGCTGAGAAGAGACAGGAATCGAGAAAGTAGAAATAATGTCTACAGACAATACTTCCAAGGTTTGCTGTGAGAGCCTGAGGGGCACAAGGTATAGCTGGAGAGGGGTGCAGGAAGGGTCCCCCAACCCTTTCTCCCCTCCTCCTTCTCCTCTTCTCTTCCTTTTCCTCTTTTCCCTTCTCCCCATCTTCCTCCTTCTCCTCCTTTTCTGCCTTCTCCTCCTTATTGTCTTCTACCTCTTCCTCCTCCCTCTCCTCCTCTTCTTCCTTTGCTGCCTCCTTTTCCTTTTTCTCCTTTTCTCTTGCTGCCTCCTTGATCCCAGGAGTCAGCACTAAATCCATACTAATAATACTAAGTCAATATTTAACTATAGTTCAGCATTATAGATTAAATGAATTTCTGAAGGCCTGACTACTAATTATTAGAACTGTTCTTGGGGAAGTTGTATCCTGAGTAACAACAGCCAACTTAAAAAAAAACTTTTAATTTGGGATTGTAATGTGTGTGTAAACATCCATTAATAACACACACACCCCCAAGAAGTCCTGGTTTATGCCTAAGTCGTGCCCAGTCCTGGAAGTCACTGTCAGGTGTGCTTGATGAGAGACAGGGAGGAGGCTCTCTGTGATGCTGATTCATTTGTGGGTAAGGGGCCTGAAGGAAGGGGAATAGGGTAATGAAGAGAAGAACCATGGGAGGGAGAGGGGTGTGGTAACTGCTGTGGACATTGTGCTTTGGACCCAGGGCCCAAGAACTTCTGCCAGCTGTGGGGAAGGGACTGTGGGGAGAGGGAGAGCCTCTGAGGCTCAGGGCATAAAGCAGGCTCCCGGGGTCCCCAGGATGACAAAGTGCTGGGACAGAGTTGGAAGCCAGGATGCTGATAGCAGGGCTAGTGTTGGAGAGAACAGACAGGCCAGAGTGTAGCTGCGCTGGTGCACAACCATGGGGGCTCCTGGGTGTAACGGGACAGAGAGGACCTGGTTGAGTAAGTGGGGACAGGCACCAATGACATTTGAGTTGGAACTGATGTTGCACCTATATTTGTTGGCTGGCTTATACACATGGACAATGACACACACCCTTTAGCTTGTCCCCTGCGCTCATTTCAGTCATCTTTGCTAGGCATTGTGTGCTAAGGTGTGCAGGACAATGGGCTTAAAGAAGTTTGGGGCTGCTTATTCTTCTTGTGCAAGTCACTTTAGCTTGCTTGGCCTCAACTTCCCCATCTGTGACATGGATATAATTAAATTTAACTATTCTCTAGAGCTGTTTGGGAGCTCTTTGTAAACTATGATACACGCGCATATGTAATACATATCTATATAAATCTGCATCTCTGTAAAGCACAGCTGTACCTATGTGAATTCATACATAATTAGGATAGATTGTAGCAACTTCAAACATTCTGTCCCATCATATACAGGATGTCCCAGAGCACATTCTGGATCCAGGCTACCTTCCTTTCATTTCTCCAACAATTCTACTGAAATAGCCTAGACTCAAGGGGATGACATTCCTGATCTAGAATGTCCTCCAGCCTCACATCCACTGAATGAAATCTCACCCATCCTTTAAGACCCCCACTCAATGCCACCTTCTCCATGTAGGTTTCATGGATCCCCGGTGTGATCTTTACTTTATCCTCTGAACCTGCACAGCTCTTTGCACCTTCCTGTGGGATCGTCACATTCAGCTTTGGGTTATAGGTACTTTGTAAGTGACTCAAATTTGCATTTATCGAGTAAATGAATGAAGTGTGAATTACTCGTTTCTTCAACAAACACAGAGGGAACAAAGATTGTGTCCCATTGTGGGAGAAACGGTGTCTGCCCCCCAGGGGTTTACAGTCTGCTGAGGAGTCTAATGAGTCATCATGGTGCCTTTCGTGGTGGAGGCCACATGAAAGGGGTGCCAGGCTCATCAGACACTGCAGTTATGTGACCCCAGGCTTCTGCTGGGAGGCAGGGGTCATTTAGAATCTGTGTGGTACAAACTCACAGATGCCAGTTGGGCATGGATCGTTTAAATCAGCAAAAGGCCTGTGGGGAAGTTGTTTGGGTGTAGGGACTACCTCAAGAGTCAGTCTTCCCTCCCCGGTTTCTCCCACATTCAGGCCAATTTTCCCACTTTCCTTCTATAGTTACAATTTTATCTCCATAAATTCTCCAAGCTAGAACCTCATAGTGCATTAGGGCTTTGCCTTCAATGCATTACCAACTTAATTCATCATGCTGCTCTAACTGATGGCTGCTCAGAGTCCAATAAATCACTCTGCACTTCCAAGCTCATGGCTTAATGAATGTGGAGCTTCGGAAAGAGACGGAGCTGATTCTCTGTCTCCCTTCCCTGGCAGTCTCTTCATTAGGAAAACCCATTTTAACTCAACTTGGGGGAAAGGTGGGGCAACAGTGGGGTGAAGTATGGGGGCACAAGACTAGGAAGGGGCGGAATTAGGGTCCAGGTTTCCTCCCTCCCTGCTTCCCTTCCTTCTTTCCCTCTTTTTTTCTTCCTTCCTTTTTATTTTAACAAGTATTTATTGAGCACACACTTCAGTGCAATAAAAGCATGCCCGAAATTCCAGAAACCAAATCCCTGGGTTTGCTTATCCTTGCCTTAAATATATGCACCCTCCAAGAATCTTTAGTCAATGCTGTCTCTGCTGAAGGGGTACCCCCAGTAACCATGGACACCTCACCACAGTGTAAACTGGTGGATCAGGTAAACCCTGGCACACACTGAGCTCCCAAGGGGGAGCAGTGGAAGGATCCAGGGAGTGACCCTGGGGAGGATGGGCTCAGGAGGGTCAGCATGGTAGGGGGCTCTGATCAGTAAATATGAAGATTTTGGCTCCTGATAGACCCCAAAAGGAGATCTGCAAACATACATTGCATTTATGACATAAACTGCATAATGATGAAATTATGCTCATGGAAGTTTGGGCAAGTCACTTTACATCAATACTCTTTTCCATATTTGTAAAATGAGGATGTTCTCAATTATTTTTGCTTAGGAATTTATCCTAAGAGAATAGCTAAAGGCTATACACAATGACTCAGCTACAGGGATGCACAATGGCGTTGCTTGTAATTGCAAAACATTGAAAATAATCGGTGTCCAACAACCCTGCAAAACTAGCAAATTACATGCTGGTACTTCACATAATGGTACACCCGCACAATAGATTAAAATGCAGTCTTTTAGCTTAGGTAGCACTGTCTGTATCTATTCAGGTTGGCCTACCTATCAGAGAGGAAGAGGGAGACATGGAGATGTCATGCATGATAAAATAAGTTTAAAAAGTAGTTTTCAAAAACTGATATGTTTAGTGAACTTCTATCTGGTTTACAAATATAGCTACATCTATATGAATATCTAGATGTAGGAAGAGCCTGAAGGAGTATGAGAGAACATTTGGAAGGACAAACACTGAATGTTCATAGTGTTACCTCTCCACGATGAGGTTAAGGATGACTTTGCTTTTCTTTTCTAATTATCTGCATTTTCTAATTTTTCTACAATAAGCATGGGCTACCTGTGTAATAAAACATTAAAATTAATAAACCTGTAGACCAAGATTCACAGTGGCATTATTTACAAACAGCAAAAATGGAAATAATCTAAATATCCATCCACAGATGCCTGGATAAACAAACTGTGGTATATACACACAGCCTTGAAAAGGAAGGATATTCTGACACATGCTACCACACAGATGAACTTGAAGACATTTTTCTAAGTGAAATAAACCAGTCACAAAAGGACAAAGATTATATGATTCCACTTATATGAAATGCCTAGAATAGGCAAATTCTTAGAATCAGAAAGTAGAATAGTGGTTATCAGGGGCTAGGATATCAGGAGTGGATAACATGGAATTTATATTTAATTCTACATTTATTACACAGCAGTTAGTATTTAATGGATACAGAGTTTCTGTTAGGGATGAAAAAAAATTTCTGGGTGGGATTGTGGTGATGGTTGGTCAATAATGTGAATGTACTTAATACCACTGAATTGTATACTTACAAATGGTTAAAAGGGTAAATTTGGCCAGGTGTGGTGGCTCATGCCTGCAATCCCAGCACTTTGGCAGGTGGAGGCAGGAAGATAGTTTGAGCCCAGGAGTTCAAGATCAGCCTGGGCAACATAAGGAGACCTTGTCTCTACAAAAAATAATAATAATAAAAAATTAGCTGGGCATAGTGGTGGGCATCTGTAACCCCAGCTACTAGGGAGGCTGAGGTGGGAGGATCTCTTGATCCCAGAAAGTTCAGGCTTCAGCAAGCTATGATCACACCACTGCACTCCAGCCTGGATGACAGAATGAGACCCTGTCTCCAAAAAAGAGGGTAAATTGTATGTTGTACCACAAGAAAAATAGATAATGGATAGATGGATCAATCAATGGATAGATAGATAAAATCAAATGAAGAGGTGCTTCGCAGTGGCCCTTCTAGGTCAGACACTGTGCTGCTATCCATCTCTGCAAGTCTCAGCCAGGAGGAGAGGAGGAGAGGATGAGAAGAAACAGCTCAATTCTCTGGAGTCCAGGGGTGGAGCAAGGGCTCCCAGGAGTCCACTTGTGTTATTAGAGAGTCAGGGCCTTGGCTCTCCCCAGGACGCCGTGGCTCTGGCTGCCTAGTGAAGAGACCTGGAGGCTGGGGCAGAAGTGGGGAGCGTTATTTTCACAAGGCTAATTAACCAAATGTGTTTTCACATTAGGTTTTGCTGCAAAGAGGATATTAGAGCTAATTAGACTCACAGCTTTGGACGGACCTCTGAATAACCAATAAGTTATCTCTTATGGAAACATGCTAGCCAGCACAGCCATCCTCTGCCTTAATCGCACGTCTCTGCGGCCATAAGGTACCAATGCTCCCACGTTAGAAGATTTGCAGTTGATTGGAGACAGAATTCTAGGAAACCTTTCCATCTGCAGCAGGAAAGCTTTCCATGACTCAATGGAGGCTGGACTCTCACTAATCTTCATCATGAGCTCTTGCCTCAGGCAGGTCAGATTCTCTACCAATCTCATCTGTGCTGGGGCCCCCTGCCTAATCTCACCGTGGGAGATCCTTCATGGGGAGACTTTCCCAGCTCACTGAAAAGGTGTCTTCCTTCCTCAGCACTGAGCTGCCCCCAATAACTCCTAAGGATAGGCTGCTGTAGCCAAGTTTCTAAGGGGCTCTGCACCCCACCCTCACCCAGCCACAGCAGATTGGCCTTGGGGTGGACACTGGCCCAGGAGAAACCATTCCAGAGGTGAGGTTGAGCCAATCCAATTCTCTTGTGGGGGAATCTGGAATACAGACATGGAGAAAATGGTTCTGTTAGCTTCATAGTGCTTTTGTCTCTGGTTGACAGACTCTAACTGTTAAGCAAACGTTTAGTAAGGTTAAATAATTCCAGCTGACCCAGGAAAGAAAGGAACTGAGACAGCTTGAGACACAGAGCAGTAGGATCTCCTGGGCTGCCACTAACGTTCTAAACTATTCATTGTGTCTTCCCTTTCTGAGTTCAAATTTGCATGAGAAACCGGCTGGCTCAACTTGGGTCAGGTGTCTACCCTTGGGACAATCAGTTCCAACCAGGGGCAAGATCACATGGGCAGAAATAATTCCTGGGGGCTCACCTTGAGTTTTAGGTGTCTTCCCAGAGAAGGGGGCATTTTGAGGGCCAGGTAGCCACATTGAGAGGTACCTAGGGGGGTTACCAAGATGAAGACAGAGCAGACGAAGGCGGTGTGCAGAGGCAGAAGGGAGAGAAACAGAGGCAGGAGATGCGGCAGAGACTGGGAGGACAAGGAAGGGGTTGCCCTCACATTGAAAGTTTAAGGGTGGGCTTCAACTCACATCTTGGAGTCCCGTCCTCTGTGGCCATCATCTGAGAGGCTCTTGATAAAATCATTTTGCACATGTTCCATTTATTGCTCCCCTCATGAGAAGACGTAGCTGCCTGTGAATCTGACAGCACTTGTGAAGCTGGGGTGGAAGGAAGGATTTGCTGTTATCTGATCATGACCATTTTTGCCTGGCTATGCAGGCAAGGGCTACTTTGCTAAAACTTAATTCTAAAGGTGACTGCATCTGTTTCCACCTCCCACTGCTGCTTAGCTTCCACTGGCTCCTACAAACTGAATATAAAAAACTAAGAGACAAGTGAGCATCGGCACCCCTGCTGGGAAGGGCCCACTTTTCCCATTCAAGTTGGGGTATCAAGGTTTTGAGAGCTCAGAATATGATGAAGTGCACAGCTACCACCTCTCTGGGATGAAAGAACTGAGTTGTTCATGTACTTCCTGGCATTTCTTACCGTCTCACCAGTTTCTGGCTTGGAGGACATTTTGCTCAAATTCTCTGCAAACTACCTGCAGCTGTGGCCCCTTGGAAAGCATGGTGACCTGAAAGAATCAGGACAAAAGGAGAGCACCACAGGGCAGTGGGTGCCAGGCGTGTGGAGCCACCTGAGCATGGGACACCCCTCGGGAGGGACAGTCAAGCAGAGGAGAGAAGGTGAGAGTGTTCACCTCAGGAGATAATGAGTGATATGTATGCGTCAAAGGTGTTACTGATATGGAGGGTGGATATGGGGAAACTTTTAGGAAAGGGTAGTTGCTTTCAGGTTGTATTTTTGAAGGCAAGGACAGCTGCGGGTTGGTGGGCAGCACAAAGGTTACATGCAGGTAAAAGACAAGCCCAACATCTGGGCATGAAAGACAGTTGGCTGTAAGGGACCTGTGCAGAGTGGGTTGGGAGAGGTCAGGACTGGTCTTTAGGAATCTGCCAGAAGGAAATGGCTTACATCAGAGATTCAGAGCTGGGGCTGGAGAGAGAAGATGAAATCCACATGATGCCACTGACCATTAGCAGAGAGGAAAGACAGGCAGTTGGCCAAGCTCAGCCGTGGACCAGGCCCTGCTTGTGTCAGAGCCAACAGCCCTCCAGGCCCCTGTTGATTGTGAATTGACTTGAGGGTGTCTGGGAGAGGCCCAGGCCTGAGTGGGTGGAGGAAACGAAGCCAAAACCCAAGTGAGGTTTTGAAGGGGTCTATGAAAAGACCAGTGTCAGGAGGAACTGGGTTCTAAGGCAGCATCATGTCCCTCCTTTAGGACTTGCTTTTCTCTGTCCACTTGGTAGCAGTGACAGATTGCTAGCAGATGTTTTTGCACAAAATGACCCTGCCCACTGGCCCTATTGATTGTCTCAGGAGTGGACACAGTCTCTGACCTTGGCTAGGGGAATTCCTTCCATGAGCATATGGGATCAAGGCTAAAGGATTCCAGCTTCTGTTTGGGATGGATCCTTGAACAGAGTGAATGTAAATACTGGGGAGAAACGAGCAAGGTTTCCTCCATGTGTCTGCATTGCAAAGAAAGTGACTTTGCAGAAACGGAGAGAAGAATTGGGCAGGTAAACAGATAAGGTAGGGTGGGAGGAGAGAAGCAGAAGTGCGTTTTCTTCTTCTTATGGCCTCTTCCTCAGGCCTACGACCCCTGTGGCCTTGAGTCCCAGGAGACCCCTCTACAATATCTTACATTCTTAACAGTGGGGATATTGTTCCTTAGGGGACAAAATCAGTTCTTGGGGGTCAAAAAGAGCCAATGTTTTGTGGCCCTCCAAAGGGTTATGGTCCCTAAACAGATATGTAGTACATCTGTGGTATTGAAACTTTATGGGAGGCTGGGACCTTGACAGCCAGATAAAAATGTCTGAAATAGTTCCTAGGGGAGTGATGATGAAAAATAAGTATGGGAAACACAGCTCTAAATCTTTGGAATGTCTTCACCTCCCCACTTCTTTTTCTCTGTAACTTCCAGTCTACTCAAATGAAGACAGACATCCTTGGCTGGTGGCCATGTTGAAGGGCTGGGGAGGAAGAGGGGCTGCTGGGAATGGCTTGGCTGAGGGGTCTCTGAGACAGCAGAGACCCCTCAGGGTGACCAGCACTAGACAAACAAGGTGGGAGCCAATGGGCAGGACCAGGGAGGGGCTCTGGGTGGATCCTCTCGAGGAGACTGGGGTTGGGGAGGGAGTGAAGCCACTGGGCTTAGCCAAGGCCTTCATTGGAAGCAGTTGCAAGAGCATTTCCAACAGGAGAGGAACATCAGCTCTGATAGTCCTCATTGTTCCCAAGGTCATGGAATCCATTCTCAGCTCTATGTGGCTGTGTTTTATGATTGTGTCTGTATTTGCACTCCTGAGAACTGAGGTTAGAGTTGGATGGTGTTGAGTGCAAAAGTCCCTCAGGCATAAAGTAGGAGATGCAACCCAGTCCAGGGCAGACAGGGTCCCACCAGTACCCCAGACTTGGGTTATGCAGATGTTAGCACCAGGGCCTGTTTATTTCTTTTTTAAAACAACTTTCTTGGGATATAATTCATGTACAACATAATTCACCCATTTGTAGTGTACAAGTCAATGGCTTTTTGTATATTCACAGATGTGTGCAGCCATCACCAGTCTATTTTAGATCATTTTCATCACCAGAAAGAGAAATCTGGTATTCTTTGGCTATCAACAACACTTCCCCACCCTGCCCCTTCATTCCTTCTCCAGCCCTGGGCAGTTACTAATCTACATTCTGTCTCTATAGATTTCCAAATTCTGGACTTTTGTATACATGGAATCATACAATATGTGGTCTTTTATGACTGGTTTGTGTCACTTAGCATAATGTTTTCAAGGTTCATCTAAGCTGCAGCGTATGTCGTATTTTATTCTTATGGATATAGCAAATTCTTTTTCATCCATTTGTCCATTGTTGGGCATTTGGGTTGTCGCTATCATTTGGTTCTCAACAATGCTGCTACAAACCTTTGTGTACAAGTCTTTGTGTAGACATATGTTTTCACTTCTCTTGGGTACATGCCTAGGAGGGGCATGGCCAGGTCATATGACAACTCCATGTTTAGTCATTGGAGAAACTGCCAGAATCTTTCCCAAAGCAGCTGCACCTTTGTATATTTCACCAGAAGAGCATGAAAGTTCTGATTTCTCCACATCCCCGACAACGTAGGTTATTATCTGACTTTTTGATTCTCACCCTCTGAATGGTATAAAGTGGTATCCAGATATGGTTTTGAATCAGTGTCAAGTTTTGCAGTGGGACATGGTGGTAGGGGGGAGGAACATGCCAGAATACTTGAGGGTGGGCACACAGTGACTGTGACATGGTTCCAAGATCAGTCCCCTGAGGGCAGGGGCCTAGCCAGGGGTGGGAGGGACAGGCACTTAGGTCACTTCCCCAGGACAGATGGAAGGGACTGGGGCTCCAGTGAGGTGAGCTAGAGATCAGGCTGGACTTTAAGAATCAGAAGAGGATATGAGCTACTTAGGGAAACTGAGGTAGAAGCTATGTCAAATGGATGACAAACACTCCACATATAGACCCTCTCCACTGCTGCTGCCACAGTAGACATCACTAATTGATCATTTCATTCTTTCCTGATCATCCCAGGAACAGTCTGAACATTACAGTCTAGGCAGCCACTACCAGCAGATAGGGGTTGGCATAAGATAGAGCACTTACCTGTAATCCCTAGACGAGGCCCACATGGGAAGTAGGGACGGGGAGGCCTGACTCAGGAAGCACTCACAGCTCAGAACTGGAGCCTGGAGAACAAGACGGATGCTGGAGCCCACTGATCATGGGGGGATGAGGTTGTTAACACTCCCTGACCTGCTCAGGGTGGGCTCCTGACGGGGGCAGTGCAGCTGAGCACAGGCCAGGGACAAAGCGAGGCTGAAACAGATCATTCTCTTACACACCTAAGGATGAGCTGGAGAAGGCTGGTGGTAGGATGATCAGAGGGACAAAATGATCCTTCCATGAGGCACCACTGGACCCGGAAGACCATCTCACTAGGGAGAGAGCTTGCTGTATAGGAGGCTATTGGTGGGCATGGGTGTCCCTGGGGAGTAAGGGGCACTAGGCAGGACAAGAGGACAATAAGCCCCAGGGCCAGGCGTCTCTGGCAATGCATAGCCAGAGAAGACAGACAGGACTGGCTGAGGCATTAGGAGTCTGGTGACCAGGGTCAGCAGTGGGCCAGGCAGGCCAGGCACAGAGCTCAGATGTGGGCTGGGCTGGTTTGTAAAGGGTGCTGTCAGAAGTCAGCCTGGAAGGGGCCAGCAGACCAGAAGGAATCTGAGAAAGGCAACCTGGAGAGGTGGCACCCCCGCCACAGCCTGCCAACAACCAGAAGGACAGGTGCTCAGAGCAGCACCAGGAGTGGAGGCTGGGGGCTCTTTCTGGCCTTGGCTTTAGGGTGTCAGGAGCCTGGTATGGGGGACAGTGGGCAATGAGGAGCACCAGGCTGGGTGAGGATCATGTAGAAGGAATAATGCAGTGTCTGAGAGAGAAACAGAGCTAGTTCCAATGAGAGAAAGAAGTTTTATAAACATAAAATGTCAATAATGATCAAACCACAAGCAGGGGCTGACCGTTTCACTGGTCTCTTTATTCATGAAGCAGATTTTTGGCCAGAAAATGTCAGATCTGAAGCATATTGTATGCTCAGAGCTGGCATCCTTGAGGCAACAGATGGGGAGCTGGCATCTCTAGGTCTTTGAGTTGAAATGACAATTGGAAAAGAGACTTAGGAACCAGCTACTGTATTTTCAATATTATTATTTTTCCCTTTGGGTGATCCTCAGTTGCACACAGAAGCATGTTTGATAGATGTTCTACTAATCCTTTAATAGGACTTATTGGACCTAAACACAATAAAAGTTTTGCTTGCTATCTTGTAGTCCTTCTTATCAGAAAAATAATGTTTTGAGAAGCAAAACTGGAATCTAGAATGTATGCCTGTATTTATTCATTTATCCGGCAAACAGTAACTGAAATACCAGCCACGAATCTTAGAGAGACTCTGCCCCACCATAAACAACATTTTTTTCTGCATTCCAGTTCTGAACTAATTGAAAAATAAGATGAACAATGGCAAGGCTGATGGAGACCAAAATATGACCATTATTACTGATCAAATCTTGGTTGAAAGATGTATCTTGTAGCAAGAGCAAATGGGCTTATCAAACATACCTAGTTGCAGAAGGTGCTGGGTGTCCCCAGGCCCCCTCCCAAAAGCAAAGCCAGTGATGTATCAGTGAGCCCCTGACTCCCAGGAGGAAAAAGGAAGGAGCTGGGCCCAGGCAAGTATGCACAGTTTGTTCTTCCCCAAATCACTAATCAAATAAAATCACATTTCCTGCCTACGGTTAAGCAAATTGCAGGGCAGAAGACAATGATAGGAGTCTTACGTTTCCATGTGAGAGAAACCTTTAGGAATTGGTAAAAGTTGTTTCCCTCCAGGCATTTCAGGGGATGGAAATAATAAAATTAAAGATAGTTGGTATTTATTGAGAAAGTAACATATGCTAGACATTTTTCAAGCACTTTTATGTCTATTATATAATTTAGTCTTTAAAAGAACCTCATAAGGTATATATTTGTATTGTCCCCATTTTATAAATGAGGAACAGAAAGGGCAAGGAACTTGTCCAAGGTCACACAGCCTGAAGGAGGTGGAGCTGAGTCTTCATTGTAGGCAGCCTGACACCAAAGGCCCCTCTTAGCTTCCAATTAATAAAGCACAGGTCTTGCCTCAGCCTGGTGAGGAGATGATACTGGTTCATAAATCACTGATATAAGTGCATAGATGAGAGGTGCAGATAAAGATGAAAGGTTACTCAGAGAGAGAAGAGATGTCATCAGAGGTCCTTGTTATCCAAGGATAATTGGTGATAAGAAAAGCTCATGAAAATGGTGGCATTTACTAGCAAATGGCATGACAACACTTTGATTGGGACTTTGTCTTGATAAAGTAAAAACTATGAATAAGATTATTCTATTTTTGATTTAACACAAATTAAGTTATAATTACACATTTTCACCCATTTTTAGAATGAATGAAAACTGAATCCAGGGTTGATTAGAGATTTTTTTTCATAACTGTCAGTCAAAACTGTGTAAGTTTCGCATAAGACAACCTTCTTCACCTCACTTTTGACTTTCACAGATTGATCAAAAGGGCTGTCTTTTCCCCAAAAATACTTGAAGGCTTTATTCATTTTTCAAGAGCCTCTCCTAATTGTTTGGTATTCAATTCACTGTTTTCTAAAACTCAGAGTTATCATCCTCTTTGATAATCTCTTCTTCAACTATTATGTGTCAGTGACTTATCATGAGATCAACGTCACTTTTATTGACTTCATGAAATTCCTTATCTTTCCCAAGATCCATCATTGAACTATGCAATCAATTTGCATTGTATTGTGCATTATACTGTAGCTGTCTGTGGCAGCCGTCCATCAGGGAAAAACTGATCAGCAGAGGCTGAGTAGGGCGAGTGCTGGTGTTAACCAGGGTCAAGTGGGACTAATTTTATTAGGGGTCAGTTCCTCAGTCAAAATTTGCATAATAAGACAACTTTTATTTCCCATGCACCCAGTACCTGTGAGACACAGACATAAATACATAGATAACAATGGTAAGGCCTCAAAGAGGAGAAGACATTTGTGCTGGGTCTTAAGGAGGAGATGATTTAGACATGCAGAGACCAGGGAACAAGGCCTTTTAATAGGAGGAGAGAGCGCCAAGAGCAGCAGAGGTGGTTAAGTACAACGTGTGTATCAGAAGCAGCAAGCAGACCCAAGAGCAAATGCTGGCGAGCAGCGAAGATAATGCCAAGACAGGTAGGTTTGCAGCCAGATCATAGAGGTCTTAGAATAATGGACTTTGCCAGGCCCGGTGGCTCACGCCTGTAATCCCAGCACTTTGGGAGGCCAAGGCAGGCGGATCACAAGGTCAGGAGATCGAGACCATCCTGGCTAACATGGTGAAACCCTGTCTGTAGTAAAAATACAAAAAAATTAGCCGAGTGTGGTGGCGGGTGCCTGTAGTCCCAGCTACTCGGGAGGCTGAGGCAGGAGAATGGCGTGAACCCAGGAAGCAGAGCTTGCAGTGAGCCGAGATCATGTCACTGCACTCCAGCCTGGGCAACAGAGCGAGACTCCGTCTCAAAAAAAAAAAAAAAAAAAGGAATAGTGGACTTTATTTTGTAAGACAATGGGGAGCCATGGATGGCTATGAATCCTGAGCTCAGCGTGGAGTTTGGCCATATTTGAAATTCAAAAAAAATTGTTGAAAAACGCTGATATTAGCGATGATAGGTACTGAATTGCAGCACACACCAGTATAACAAAATCTGGATGTCAAAAATACCTATTTCTGACTAATACCTGGATGTGCAAACTAGCTAATTACTTGCTTACTTAAATGTTTGTTGCAAACAGAAGACTATCCCCTTTGGAGTTTCTTGTAATGAAATTTGAGTTCCATATTGGAAATTATCCTTTTTCAGAAGGGACACTAGTACATGCATTACAGATAGAGGAGCTATTTCTTAAACTAAGACTTAAATTAAATTCAGCCATTGTACATCCCAGTGTGCTTTTTGAAGCTGCTACTATAAAGCATGAACATTTGACCTGGCTATGGGGAAGATGAACACAGGGCATGAAGCTTGCTTTGAGATCTAATTGGAACTATTTGTATTCCAAATTTTAGTTCCTACTAATCTTTCAGTAACAGCAACCAAGGAGAAGCTCTGTGTTTGGTTGAGCCTGTGTGTGCACAGGCATGCACGTGATCCTGTGCCCACAGGTATGTTAAAAAATCAAGCACAGCCAACATTCCTTAGGAGATAGGAAGGTTTTGCTGGGGGAAAACAAGAGCTCCTAGAACTTTCTGAGGCCTATAGTCATGTCTGCTGAGCCACACTAGAGAACTTGCCGAGCCCTTTGTACCATGAGAGTAGCAGATGATGTTCAATTTCTCACTCTGTAACTGCAGTGATTAAAGACCTACAAACTCCCTCGTTCTTTTTTGGCAAAAAACCCAAAGGTATGCCAGAAATAAGATAAGATTTGAAATATGCAATAGGCAATGCTAATACCCTCTGCAGTGACTTTTCAGGTAAGGAAGAGGGAATAAAAAACAATGAATGCTAATTAGTTTACATTAATCAAAATTGTATTTTTTTTCTTTCCGGAGCTCTTAAGTGTGAGGAAGCAGATTATTCAAATTTCACCCCTGTTTTTCAAAAATTAATAAGGGCCATACATTAGTGTAACATTCTGCCTGCTTCATAGAATATATTAGTAAAGGTTTTAATTACTGAAATTATACAGTCATAAAAAGATGATTTAATGAAAGCAATCATATCATTTGCATTCTGGGCCTGCCTGCATGCACGCGCTGCACAGAGCAGTAAATTACACAGAAGTGCAGTTGAATAATTATCACCATTGCAATTCTGCCGGAGGACCCTGTGCTCAAATGACTTTAAGTTCCAAGTAAATACCTGTTTGTTGGACAAGAAAACAAGCTTCATTTGAGCAGGAGGATTAGACATGACAATGGAGTCCTAAAATCCCTTTTCTTTCCCAATACCCAGAGCTTGTCTTTCCTGGAGGAATCCATAATGACCTCACCTCAGATAAGGGAAAATTAATTGGTTTGCTCTTTTGTTGAAGAGGGTTTTGTGGTGGTTAAAATAATTAGAGCTGAGTCTGGAAGTGATGGCTGGGGTATTAAAAAAGACATGGTTTTATTAACATGCGACAGGACAACAGGTGGGCGTGTGGAACTGGGTACAGGGAGGGGTTGTGCCTGTCTGTTTTGCAGAGCCAGAAACTAAGTGTGGGTAAGTGGAGGTGGACCTGTCTCCCAGGGCCTCCTGGACTCTTCCCACAAAGGAGGGGCAGACATGAGGGACACATGGGTAATATGGACAAGGGCCACTGAAAACCCTTTAAGGAACCATCTGGAATTCTGTACCGTGTAGTGGTGGTGGCCAGTTGGAAGGGTCAAGGGCCTGAATCATTCTATTCTACTTAGATCTGCTAAGATGTGAATTCTGGTTTCCCAAGTTAAATTCTGCCAAGTCTCCCACCTATTACAACCTCCCAATAAAATACACCCCTCCATGGACTCTAGGGTCCATCCTTAAATGTGTGCATGTTGCCAGGACTGCAGAGATGAGGGGGTATGCTTAAGCCATTGTTTCTATTCTACCAATCCGGTCTTCTAATGTTCATTGTGAAGCTGCTATGCATAAGGCCCTGTGTTGGGTTGGCATAGGTTATGGGGTGTGGGGGATGACATTGTTCCCACCCTATGATAATGATTTTAATGCAAGGTAGACTGGCATTAGAAAGATAGATATTCAGTGTTACAGTGGCTTAATGATGGGTGAATAACAACACCACATTTAAATGAGCTGAGTAAGAGATTTGTGGGAAAAGCCACATTGAAGGACAGGGAAGAGACGGGGTCAGGGATTTCCAGAAGGTGGGCACAGCATGGGCAGAGGCAAAGGGTGAGAAAGTGTAAGGCGTGTTAAGAAAACAGGGAATGGTTTGTTTTAGGTGGGGCAATCGACTGTAAGGCTGGGTCGGAGGGACGTGGGAAATAGGTAAGAAAGGCAAGCTGGGGTGCCTTGGGAAGGAGGCCTTGAACACCAGGCCAAGGAACCTGCACTTTATTCAGGCAGCAACAGAGAAGGATTGGAGGATTTAATGAGGGATGCGTGTTGAGGCTGACATCTGGGGCTTTCATGTGCAGGAGAGGGAGGAAGCAGGGGTCTGCTGGGTCTTCGGTGTTACAGTTGCACTGATGAGCCACAGTAAAGCTGAAACAAGGGAGAGGAAACACTGGTAGAAAACCTCTCAGGCCCAGACAGCTGATGAGATGGGAGGGAACTGGGAGGAATCAAAGGTAACCAAGAGTCAATGTGTGCACCAGGCAGAGTGGATCCTAATGGAGAGGACGCTGATAAGTGAGAGGAGTGGTTATGTGGGGGAACACAGTGAGTGTTAGCACTGGCTTCCACAAGAAAGTGCAATCTGACCACTTTACAGGTGTGTCCTGGTGAGCCCGGCCACGTATGGGTCATCAACCGAGACAAAGGCTCACTCTCATTTTCCCTGTAAGCATTTGATTGTTGGTGATGGAATGAGAGCTGAGAAAAAGCCTGAGAGGCAAACATTTGCTTAGAGGTTCAAGTGCCAAACTGCACCATGATGTCACAACTCAGACACCTTCCAGATGGCCAAACATTTGATTGAAACCAGCAACTAAAACTACCATTGTGGTTCTAGTCATGACAGAGTAGCTTGTATCAGACTAACTCCTACCTGCTCAAACAACTGTAAAAGCTGGACAAAATACCTAACTGATTAAAGGCATTTGAGAGAAACCAGGGCAGGCAAGACTTGAGCTGCCATGATCTTTGAGAGAAGGCAAGCTTCACATTCTCCCTGGCTCTTGTCTTTTTCTTTTCTTTTCTTTTCGTTTTCTTCCTTTTCATTTCTCTTCTGTTTTCTTTTCTTTTTCTCTTTTCTTTCATTTTGAGACAGATTCTCACTCTGTCACCTAGGCTGGAGTGCAGTGGCACAATCATAGCTCACTGTAGCCTCAAACTTCTGGGAGTTTGCAGTGAGGTATGATTGAGTCTCAAACTCCTAGGCTCAAGTGATCCTCCTGTCCCAGCCTCCAGAGTAGCTGAGACTACAGGCATGCACCACCCTAATTTAAAAAAAACATTTTTTTGTTCGTTTTGTTTTGTTGTTGTTGTTTTTGGTAGAGATGGGTGTCTTGCTTTGTTTCACGGGCTGTTCTCAAACTCCTGGCCTGTAGTGATCCTCCCACCTTGGCTTCCCAAAATGTTGGAATTACAGACATAAGCCACCACCCCTGGCCCATCTTGGCTCTTTCTATTGAGATTAGAGCCCCAGCAGAGTGATATCTTGCTGAGCTAAGGAGATGGAGGTTAGCGTTTCCAAAGTGATTGGGATTGGAGAGTGAAAAACCTGGGGAAGAGGAAACTGCAAGGAGGGAGCCCCCGAGATCTGCACACCAATCCCCTCAAGTCGTTGCTGACTTCTAAACTGCATGCAGTGGCTCAGGGAACGCCAACAAAAATAACCACCAGGAAGAGAACAAGCTGAAGTAGAGTGTTCAGCTCTTGGGTGGTGCTAGGGACACAAAGATTGGAGTTCAAGTTCTGCCAAGGTGGAGGGCCTTTGTAAATACCCCGGGCTTTCAATAGAGCCCCTGGAAAGGTCACACTTAGAAGTAAGGACCATACCCTAAGAATAAGGGCAAAAAATATCTTAGCAGATTTATTTGGGGGGAATTTACATACTGATCCTAGAAGTCATATGGAAACTAAAAGGATCTAGACTAGCTAAGGTAAATCTTAGAGAAAAAGAGCAAAGCTGGAATATTTATACTAGTAGCTACCAAAATTTCTTATGTGGTAGTGGCAAAGATAGCCAAATAGACCAAAGGAACAGAATAGAGAATTAGGAGATAGGCCTACACATATGTAGTCACCTGATCTGAGTCAAGGGTGCCACTGCAATTCTATGGGGGCAAGGGCTGTCTTTTACATAAGTGGTGCTGGGTCAATTAGATATCCACATCCAAAAAAAAAAAAGAAAAAGAAAAAGAACCTTGACCCGTTACCTCCAAAAGTAATTTCAGGCATATTGTAGATATAAATACAAATGGTAAAAACAATACAGTCTCTAGAAGAACAACATAGAATATTTTCATAATCTTGGGGTAGACAAACAGGACAAAAAATGCAGCAGCCACAAAAAGAAGATTGATGGTAGGAACTTGTATTCTCCAAAACATACCATTAGCAGAGTGAAAATGCAAGTCATAGCCTGGGAGATGGTATTCACTGAATAGATACCTAAGAACTCACATACAGAATAGTTAAAGAAACTCTATAAATCAAAATACAAAGTAGATAATTCAACTTAACTTCATAAAAGGGTAGGCAAAAGACTTGAACAGGTACTTCATAACACAGGATATCCAATGGTCAGTAGCATATGGAAATGGATTCGACACAAGTACTCATCATGGAAAGACAAATTAACACCACAATAGATACCACTACACCCACCAGAACGGCTAAAATTAGGAGGACTGAAAATATGATTAGTAAGGATGTGGAGCAACTAGAACTCTCATATGTGAGAATGTAAATTATTACAACCCCTTTGGAAAACTATTGACAGTCATCATTAAAACTAAACATAGATGTAATGTACCATCCAGCAATTTCATTCGTAGGTGTACAACCAGTAAAAATGAGTGTTCATGTCCATTAAGAATGCAAATCAAAACCACAATGAGATACCATCTCACAGCAGTCAGAAGGGCTACTACTAAAAGGTCAAAACATAATAGATGCTGGTAAGGTTGTGGAGTAAAGGCAACACTTATACACTGTTGGTGGGAGTGTAAATTGGTTCAACCATTGTGGAAAGCAGCATGGCAATTCCTCAAAGAGCTAAAAGCAAAACTGTTAGGTTGGTGCAAAAGCCTCAATTACTTTTGCACCAACCTAATACCATTCGACCCAGCAATCCCATTAATGAGTATATGCCCAAAGGAATATAAATCATTCTACTATAAAGACACATGCTTGTGAATGTTCACTGCAGCACTATTCACAATAGCAAAGACATGGAATCGACCTAAATGCCCACCAATGAGAGATTGGATAAAGAAAATGTGGTCCGTATACACCATGGACTACTCTGCAGCCATAAAAAAGAAAGAGATCTTGTCTTTTGCTGGAACATGGATGGAGGTAGAGGCCATTATCCTTAGTAAACTAATGCAGGAGCAGAAATCCAAATACCACATGTTGTCACCTATAAGTGGGAGTTAAATGATGAGAATTCATGAACACAAAGAAGGGAACAACAGACACTGGGGACTACTTGAGTGTGGAGAGTGGGAGGAGGGAGAGGAGCAGAGAAAATTGGGTACTAAGGTTAATACCAGGTGATGAAATAATCTGTACAACAAACCCCCATGACACGAGTTTACCTGTGTAACAAACCTGCACGCGTACCCCTGAACCTAAAATGAAAGTTAAAAAAAGAATGCTTATAGCTGCTTTATTCATAATAGCTAAATGAATGGGAATGCTCATAACTATGTTATTCATAATAGACAAAGACCTGAAACAATCCGAATGTCCATCAACAATAAAATGGGTAAGAAACAACTTACTGCTTAACAGTGTTAAGTGAAAGTTTGCTGATGATTCCACTTATATGAGGTTCAAAACCAGGCAAAACGATAGCAATAACCTATAGTAATAAGAGGTCAAAATAGTAGTTACCCTTTGTAGGATATTGACTCTGAGGGATGTGAGGGAGCCTTCTGGGAAGCTAAAAATGTTCTGCATTATGGTCAGAGTGGTAGTAACACAGCTGGCATACATAAAAATTCACCAAGTTGTACCCCTAAAATCTGCACACTTCATTCTATGCAAGTCATGTGTGTATGCATGTATGTGTGTATATAAACACACACACTATTATGCTCAACAATAAGAATTGTTGCTTAAGTTCAGGATCCTTTTTGGGTGAATGCAAAGAGAGACAAATAATGAGCTATGGTGTACAAAATACTTTGATGTTGATGCCTTTGTCAGACCTCATGGGGGCTACAGTGTATAGTGATTCAGAGCACGGGCAGATGGTCCTAGATTGGATTCCTGATGCACTTTGACTTGACACACTTTCTAACTCTGCAACCTTGCACAATTTGCTTAACTTTGACAGCTCAGACTACCTATTGGTACAGTGGGGATAGTAATACCTGTACCATAGGATTGTTGGAGGATGATTTGGATATTGTATGTAAAGCACTCAGCACATGTCTCAATAAGGACTGGCATTATTGTTGTTAGGCTGGGACCTTCGTTTGTTTTTCAAAGATGAGGAAACTAAGGCTTAAAGGGATTGCTAAAAACCACATGGAGAGGGAGTGGCAAAGTCAGGACTGGAACTCATGCTTCTGATGAGTATACCTCCACTCGCTGCTCTCCCTCAGTGACGGATTCATGACTGTTAGAGCTGGAGGGAGCCAATGAGATCATCTTACTCGCCTCCCATATTTCAGGGATAAGTAACCCAGCCAGGTCCAGAGAAGTAAAATGACTTGGCCAAGGTCAGCCAGGAACAGAATCTGGGCTGAAATTTGGTCAGAGGACAGGCAGTTGAGAATAGCCCACAGAGGCCTCTTTGTGTGTGAGGGGGATTGCATGTCTTGGCAGGTTCTCAAAGCAGGTGCTCCTAACCAAGGGCTCCAGTGGAGAAGGTACCGGGGCAGTGGGAAACCTGCTCTCTGCTCTGTCTCCAGAGACATGCACTGCACTGCACAAGCAATGATGAGGCAAAGGGAAGGGGGATTGAGAAGAGAGATGTGGTGTTGCTGTCCTGTGGCCTTGGGAGAGAGAAACAGATGCAAGTCACCTGGGGCTCCGGGTGCCTTCTCATTTGTCTGGGAGGCCACAGAGCTGGGGTGGAGCTCCCATGTCACAAGGTCAGAGGTGCTGCTGAGGTCTGCTGAGCTCTCCCAAGGGGTCAACTTGGGCAGAATTAAAGCTACAGAGGCCTGTGTGGTGGGGGTGGATGGGTGGCCAGAGGCCCAGCTCTGGAGGGTCCCACCGCCTAAAAAGACTGAAAGAAGTCCATTCGCAAGTGCCATGAGGTGCAGGGTCCCTGTTGGGACTGCACTGTTTTCATCTCTGGGGCCAGTACAGCAAGACAGTCAGGCTGGCCAGTCAGAAATCTGCTGACGGAACTCAGGAGCTCCAGGGGAGCCAGTTAGACAAGGGTGGCCTGGTGCTTGGAGGGGAGGCCAATTCTCAAAAGAAGTGCTGTTACTGAATGCTTACTCTGTGCTGCACACTGTTCTAAGCGCTTTACATATGTTAATTTAAAAAATTCTCCCACCAACACTCTGAGGTAGAAAGTATCAAGTTTCCATTTAACAGATAAGAAAACTGAGACTCAGAGAGTTGCAGTAACTTGACTAAGAACACCCAGTAAGTAGCAGCGCTGGGCTCCAAACCCAAAGACTGCATTACTCTGAAGCACAGCACAGCAACTGTCACTTGGACCTGTCTCCTAGCCAAGTCCCAAGGACTGAAATCTGAGTCCAGTGGTGGAGCTGGGAGAGTAGGGAGCATGCAGGGAGAGCTGAAGTAAAGGCTGAAAGTTGTTTCATGAAATATCACATAGACTCTGAGGCACAGGTCAGCACAGCTTTAGTACTTAGATGATGAACCCGAAGAGGGAGAGAGTGCAGCATGCTTTGTGAAGTGGTATCCAGGGCTCATAGCCAGCTGCTTTGATACCCTGAGGGCTGTAGTACTCTGGAGGTGGCAACAGCTGTGCCTGGTGAATGCAGCAGTTCCCAGAGGAAAAGGCTGGAGGAGATACCTAAGCCCAAATGAGATAACCCTGTATCTCCTAGAAATACATGGGGGCACATTGCAAGGGACAAGGGAACTGACTCAGTAAGTGGCACCAGCCAACTAAACATGGGTTATGCCATGCAAAGCATCCAGGTTTTCCAGGTCTTCTGAATTTTGACTACACTGAACATCATCAGCTAGTGTTACTTTCCTTCACTTAGGGAGGAAGGTAGGCCTTAGGTTTCTCAAGCTGTAGCATGGGGGTCCAAATATTTGCTAGTAATTGTTTGATTAGGAGATGGGTTGTTGGACTAAGGTCAAGAGAAATTCTCCAGTGATGGTGGATACTGTGTGGGACTGCCAAATCCACATGTCCCCAGCAAGAATGAAGGCTTGATTCCCCCAGCAGCGGCTGGTTTATAGCCCTCACCTATATATACCCTCAGCAGAAGAAAGCTGCCTCACCCAAGTTCATGCCCCTTCCTGTGACCAGCCAGCATTCAGTGACTGGAAGATGCAAAGGTACAAAGGCTTGGGGACCCGTACAAAGGCAGTCCCATCTTTGGAGCTCCCTATGGGGTATGTTGAAGCCTTGGTTGTATCTCCATCTCAGCCCAGATCCTCCCCAACCCAGCCCTGCTGTCTTCACCTTCCTTTTAGGGAGCACAGCTCAATAGACTTCCTGTTGCCACTCCATCTCCCAGACACATGTCACAAGGGCCAAGGGATGGAATACGTCCTTCTCTTTAAAATCTTATGTAAAGCATAAGAAGAAAAGAGTTAAAGATCAGGATTGAAGATTTGAAGCCTGAAAATTCTGATGCCTGATCCCCACCTCACACCTAGGGATTGTGTAATCTTAGGGCTGAGGAACTCTGTAACGGCTGTTCAGATTTCCAATTTCTGGATGAATTTAAGAAGAGGAAAGCCTTTGAAAAATACTATCTCTGGTGAGCCAAATTAGCCAGATGACTGAACAAACAAGGAAGTATACAATCTAAACCAGCCATGGGACTTAATAATAAACTTAATAATACAAAAGGAGAACAGGCTTCCAAAACAAATGGCAGGAAACCACAGGATAAATGCAACTCTAGTTGCTATGGAGCTACAGTTAAAATGATGAAAGTTCATCATTAAGAAAAAAAAACAATAAGGACTTGTTGATGGGTTTCTCCATATCCTACTTAGATGGCCTCCTTGGGGAAGTCGTATAAGACAGCAATGGTTTGAAAGCAGAGATATGTGTTACCCCATGACCTTGGGCAATACACTTTCCCTGTCTGGAAAGCTGTGTAATTATAAGTTGAGATTGCATCGGTTTTCCCAAACTGTGTTCCACGGAACACCAGTGCAACACAAGACATTAACCATTGTTACATGCAAGAAAAGTTCTACGACTGAGCAAGTTTGGGAAAAGCTACATACTGTAGTACCCTTTTGAATATGCACGGTGCACATAATATATTAAAACACTGTTTCCCAGCATTTTTTGCATCCCTGCACACATGGAAACTGATGATACTTTATTTCTGTGACTCACTGGAGTAAACAGGAGGGGATTTATATTTACATATATTGCATTTGAAAAAGTTAATAAACTTGAGCTTGCTTTCACAGACTTTACTTTTTAATATCAGGTTTTATGTTTGAAATGAATGCATATAAATCTTAACCAAGATCTTAATAGTCAGCACTGGAAATAAAGTTTATTTGCACACATACATGATAGCAAATGGCACAATAATATCTCTTATTCTTCAACTGGCGGAAACTTCTCTCTCATCATTAGTAGGAATTTAGATAATTTGATCTCTTTAAGTTGTATTTTAAGGGTAAGATAACTCTTTAAAACTAGAAGCTCTGCCTTTTGTTTTATTGACAAATATAATGTCATGATAATATTAATGGATTTAGAATACAATCAAACTTGATCATATTGAGTATTTCTAAATAATGATGAAATTTTCCCTAAGCCTGCACATATGTTTCTCTATTGGTCTCTAGTCATTTTTAGAGTTGATATGTTAGTCCTGATTAATATTACTGGTAAATCATATTAACCTCAGTTTTCCTAAGTTAAATTTTTGTCCTGAATGCATAAACTTTGTCAAACACATTTATATGTTTTCACGCAGTTCTGGTAATTTTTAATTAATTTCAATCAGATGCTCAAAATTGTCAGTTAAACCATTTAGAAAAGTCATTAACTGTTCTTTAGTCTATCTGCATGGTGTGAATGATTTATAAAACAATTTTCAATTCTTCCTTTTGTTCATAGATTACTGACACAATACTTTCTCTGGCCAGCCAATGCACTTCATTGTGAAATATCAGAAATGGATGTTATGATACCATTTATTTAGATAAAGCTGAAAACTGATGGGACTATGCAGCTTGGATTTCATTAGACTCACCATTTTTATAGTATCATTCACGTGAAATTCAGATCTATAGGCAAACTTGTTCATATGAGGGCTTCCCTGTGAATAAAACAATGTATTATTTGCATCTCATGGTTTTCAGAATGAACTCTTTTTTTTTTCTTTTTTTTATTTATTATTATTATACTTTAAGTTTTAGGGTACATGTGCACAATGTGCAGGTTAGTTACACATGTATACATGTGCCATGCTGGTGCACTGCACCCACTAACTCATCATCTAGCATTAAGTATATCTCCCAATGCTATCCCTCCCCCCGCCCCCCACCCCACAACAGTCCCCAGAGTGTGATGTTCCCCTTCCTGTGTCCATGTGTTCTCATTGTTCAATTCCCACCTATGAGTGAGAATATGTGGTGTTTGGTTTTTTGTTCTTGTGATAGTTTACTGAGAATGATGATTTCCAATTTCATCCATGTCCCTACAAAGGACGTGAACTCATCATTTTTTATGGCTGCATAGTATTCCATGGTGTATATGTGCCACATTTTCTTAATCCAGTCTATCATTATTGGGCATTTGGGTTGGTTCCAAGTCTTTGCTATTGTGAATAATGCCACAATAAACATACGTGTGCATGTGTCTTCATAGCAGCATGATTTATAGTCCTTTGGGTATATACCCAGTAATGGGATGGCTGGGTCAAATGGTATTTCTAGTTCTACATCCCTGAGGAATTGCCACACTGACTTCCACAATGGTCAAACTAGTTTACAGTCCCACCAACAGTGTAAAAGTGTTCCTATTTCTCCACATCCTCTCCAGTACCTGTTGTTTCCTGACTTTTTTATGATTGTCATTCTGACTGGTGTGGGATGATATCTCATTGTGGTTTTGATTTGCATTTCTCTGATGGCCAGTGATGGTGAGCATTTTTTCATGTGTTTTTTGGCTGCATAAATGTCTTCTTCTGAGAAGTGTCTGTTCATGTCCTTTGCCCGCTTTTTGATGGGGTTGTTTGTTTTTTTCTTGTAAATTTTTTGGAGTTCATTGTAGATTCTTGATATTAGCCCTTTGTCAGATGAGTAAGTTGCAAAAATTTTCTCCCATTTTGTGGGTTGCCTGTTCACTCTGATGGTAGTTTCTTTTGCTGTGCAGAAGCTCTTTAGTTTAATTAGATCCCATTTGTCAATTTTGGCTTTTTTTGCCATTGCTTTTGGTGTTTTAGCATGAAGTTTTTGCCCATGCCTGTGTCCTGAATGGTAATGCCTAGGTTTTCTTCTAGGGTTTTGATGGTTTTAGGTCTAACGTTTAAGTCTTTAATCCATCTTGAATTAATTTTTGTATAAAGTGTAAGGAAGGGATCCAGTTTCAGCTTTCTACATATGGCTAGCCAGTTTTCCCAGCACTATTTATTAAATAGGGAATCCTTTCCCCATTGCTTGTTTTTCTCAGGTTTGTCAAAGATCAGATAGTTGTAGATATGCGGCGTTATTTCTGAGGGCTCTGTTCTGTTCCATTGATCTATATCTCTGTTTTGGTACCAGTACCATGCTGTTTTGGTTACTGTAGCCTTGTAGTATAGTTTGAAGTCAGGTAGTGTGATGCCTCCAGCTTTGTTCTTTTGGCTTAGGATTGACTTGGCGATGTGGGCTCTTTTTTGGTTCCATATGAACTTTAAAGTAGTTTTTTCCAATTCTGTGAAGAAAGTCATTGGTAGCTTGATGGGGATGGCATTGAATCTGTAAATTACCTTGGGCAGTATGGCCATTTTCATGATATTGATTCTTCCTACCCATGAGCATGGAATGTTCTTCCATTTGTTTGTATCCTCTTTTATTTCCTTGAGCAGTGGTTTGTAGTTCTCCTTGAAGAGGTCCTTCACATCCCTTGTAAGTTGGATTCCTAGGTATTTTATTCTCTTTGAAGCAATTGTGAATGGGAGTTCACTCATGATTTGGCTCTCTGTTTGTCTGTTGTTAGTGTATAAGAATGCTTGTGATTTTTGTACATTGATTTTGTATCCTGAGACTTTGCTGAAGTTACTTATCAGCTTAAGGAGATTTTGGGCTGAGACAATGGGGTTTTCTAGATATACAATCATGTCGTCTGCAAACAGGGACAATTTGACTTCCTCTTTTCCTAATTGAATACCCTTTATTTCCTTCTCCTGCCTAATTGCCCTGGCCAGAACTTCCAACACTATGTTGAATAGGAGTGGTGAGAGAGGGCATCCCTGTCTTGTGCCAGTTTTCAAAGGGAATGCTTCCAGTTTTTACCCATTCAGTATGATATTGGCTGTGGGTTTGTCATAGATAGCTCTTATTCTTTTGAGATATGTCCCATCAATACCTAATTTATTGAGAGTTTTTAGCATGAAGCGTTGTTGAATTTTGTCAAAGGCCTTTTCTGCATCTATTGAGATAATCATGTGGTTTTTGTCTTTGGTTCTGTTTATATGCTGGATTACATTTATTGATTTGCGTATATTGAACCAGCCTTGCATCCCAGGGATGAAGCCCACTTGATCATGGTGGATAAGCTTTTTGATGTGCTGCTGGATTCGGTTTGCCAGTATTTTATTGAAGATTTTTGCATCAATGTTCATCAAGGACATTGGTCTAAAATTCTCTTTTTTGGTTGTGTCTCTGCCTGGCTTTGGTATCAGGATGATGGTGGCCTCATAAAATGAGTTAGGGAGGATTCCCTCTTTTTCTATCGATTGGAATAGTTTCAGAAGGAATGGTACCAGTTCCTCCTTGTACCTCTGGTAGAATTCAGCTGTGAATCCATCTGGTCCTGGACTCTTTTTGGTTGGTAAGCTATTGATTATTGCCACAATTTCAGCTCCTGTTATTGGTCTATTCAGAGATTCAACTTCTTCCTGGTTTAGTCTTGGGAGAGTGTATGTGTCGAGGAATTTATCCATTTCTTCTAGATTTTCTAGTTTATTTGCATAGAGGTGTTTGTAGTATTCTCTGATGGTAGTTTGTATTTCTATGGGATTGGTGGTGATATTCCCCTTTATCATTTTTTATTGTGTCTATTTGATTCTTCTCTCTTTTTTTCTTTATTAGTCTTGCTAGCGGTCTATCAATTTTGTTGATCCTTTCAAAAAACCAGCTCCTGGATTCGTTAATTTTTTGAAGGGTTTTTTGTGTCTCTATGTCCTTCAGTTCTGCTCTGATTTTAGTTATTTCTTGCCTTCTGCTAGCTTTTGAATGTGTTTGCTCTTGCTTTTCTAGTTCTTTTAATTGTGATGTTAGGGTGTCAATTTTGGATCTTTCCTGCTTTCTCTTGTGGGCATTTAGTGCTATAAATTTCCCTCTACACACTGCTTTGAATGTGTCCCAGAGATTCTGGTATGTTGTGTCTTTCTTCTCATTGGTTTCAAAGAACATCTTTATTTCTGCCTTCATTTCATTATGTACCCAGTAGTCATTCAGGAGCAGGTTGTTCAGTTTCCATGTAGTTGAGTGGTTTTGAGTGAGTTTCTTAATCCTGAGTTCTAGTTTGATTGCACTGTGGTCTGAGAGATAGTTTGTTATAATTTCTGTTCTTTTACATTTGCTGAGGAGAGCTTTACTTCCAACTATGTGGTCAGTTTTGGAATAGGTGTGGTGTGGTGCTGAAAAAAAATGTAAATTCTGTTGATTTGGGGTGGAGAGTTCTGTAGATGTCTATTAGGTCAGCTTGGTGCAGAGCTGAGTTCAATTCCTGGGTATCCTTGTTGACTTTCTGTCTCGTTGATCTGTCTAATGTTGACAGTGGGGTGTCAAAGTCTCCCATTATTAATGTGTGGGAGTCTAAGTCTGTTTGTAGGTCACTCGGGACTTGTTTTATGAATCTGGGTGCTCCTGTATTGGGTGCATATATATTTAGGATAGTTAGCTCTTCTTGTTGAATTGATCCCTTTACCATTAAGTAATGGCCTTCTTTGTCTCTTTTGATCTTTGTTGGTTTAAAGTCTGTTTTATCAGACACTAGGATTGCAACCCCTGCCTTTTTTTGTTTTCCATTTGCTTGGTAGATCTTCCTCCATCCTTTTATTTTGAGCCTATGTGTGTCTCTGCATGTGAGATGGGTTTGCTGAATACAGCACACTGATGGGTCTTGACTCTTTATCCAATTTGCCAGTCTGTGTCTTTTAATTGGAGCATTTAGTCCATTTACATTTAAAGTTAATATTGTTATGTGTGAATTTGATCCTGTCATGATGATGTTAGCTGGTTATTTTGCTCGTTAGTTGATGCAGTTTCTTCCTGGTCTCGATGGTCTTTACATTTTGGCATGATTTTGCAGTGGCTGGTACCGGTTGTTCCTTTCCATGTTTGGTGCTTCCTTCAGGAGCTCTTTTAGGGCAGGCCTGGTGGTGACAAAATCTCTCAGCATTTGCTTGTCTGTAAAGTATTTTATTTCTCCTTCACTTATGAAGCTTAATTTGGCTGGATATGAAATTCTGGGTTGAAAATTCTTTTCTTTAAGAATGTTGAATATCGGCCCCCACTCTGTTCTGGCTTGTAGAGTTTCTGCCGAGAGATCTGCTGTTAGTCTGATGGGCTTCCCTTTGAGGGTAACCCAACCTTTCTCTGTGGCTGCCCTTAACATTTTTTCCTTCATTTCAACTTTGGTGAATCTGTCAGTTATGTGCCTTGGAGTTGCTCTTCTCGAGGAGTATCTTTGTGGCGTTCTCTGTATTTCCTGAATCTGAACGTTGGCCTGCCTTGCTAGATTGGGGAAGTTCTCCTGGATTATATCCTGCAGAGTGTTTTCCAACTTGGTTCCATTCTCCCCGTCACTTTCAGGTACACCAATCAGACGTAGATTTGGTCTTTTCACATAGTCCCATATTCTTGGAGGCTGTGCTTGTTTCTTTTTATTCTTTTTTCTCTAAACTTCCCTTCTTGCTTCATTTCATTCATTTCATCTTCCAACGCTGATACCCTTTCTTCCAGTTGATCGCATTGGCTCCTCAGGCTTCTGCATTCTTCACATAGTTTTTGAGCCTTGGTTTTCAGCTCCATCAGCTCCTTTAAGCACTTCTCTGTATTGGTTATTCTAGTTATACATTCTTCTAAATTTTTTTCAAAGTTTTCAACTTCTTTGCCTTTGGTTTGAATGTCCTCCCACAGCTTGGAGTAATTTGATGGTCTGAAACCTTCTTCTCTCAGCTGGTCAAAGTCATTCTCCGTCCAGCTTTCTTCCATTGCTGGTGAGGAACTGCGTTCCTTTGGAGGAGGAGAGGCGCTCTGCTTTTTAGAGTTTTCAGTTTTTCTGTTCTGTTTTTTCCCCATCTTTGTGGTTTTATTTACTTTTGGTCTTTGATGATGGTGATGTACAAATAGGTTTTTGGTGTGGATGTCCTTTCTGTTTGTTAGTTTTCCTTCTAACAGACAGGACCCTCAGCTGCAGGTCTGTGGGAGTAGCCGGCCGTGTGAAGTGTCAGTCTGCCCCTGCTGGGGTGTGCCTCCCAGTTAGGCTGCTCGGGGGTTGAGGGGTCAGGGACCCACTTGAGGAGGCAGTCTGCCCATTCTCAGATCTCCAGCTGCATGCTGGGAGAACCACTGCTCGCTTCAAAGCTGTCAGACAGGGACATTTAAGTCTGCAGAGGTTACTGCTGTCTTTTTGTTTGTCCGTGCCCTGCCCCCAGAGGTGGAGCCTACAGAGGCAGGCAGGCCTCCTTGAGCTGTGGTGGGCTCCACCCAGTTCGAGCTTCCAGGCTGCTTTTTTTACCTAGGCAAGCCTGGGAAATGTCGGGCACCCCTCCCCCAGCCTCGCTGCCGCCTTGCAGTTTGATCTCAGACTGCTGTGCTAGCAATCAGCGAGACTCCATGGGCGTAGGACCCTCCGAGCCATGTGCGGGATATAATCTCCTGGTGTGCCATTTTTTAAGCCTGTCGGAAAAGCGCAGTATTCGGGTGGGAGTGACCCGATTTTCCAGGTGCCATCTGTCACCACTTTCTTTGACTAGGAAAGGGAACTCCCTGACCCCTTGTGCTTCCCGAGTGAGGCAATGCCTCGCCCTGCTTCGGCTCGTGCACGGTGCGCGCACTCACTGACCTGCGCCCACTGTCTGGCACTCCCTAGTGAGATGAACCCAGTACCTCAGATGGAAATGCAGAATTCACCCGTCTTCTGCATCACTCACACTGGGAGCTGTAGACCAGAGCTGTTCCTATGCGGCCATCTTGGCTCCTCCCAGAATGAACTCTTGATGTACAACCTTGACCACTCCCTGTCATTGTAGCTATATCATCTGGGCACAGATTTATGCAGGGTTCTGATAATATTTGTTTCAGTGCTTCCATTTATCACTTTGAATATTTCATCACCTGTGGTTTGCTTTGGTACTCCTTTGCAAAACAAATAAGTTTCTTTCAAGCCTTTTTCTTCAGGGATTTTTAGCCAATGCAATTATTGAGCCCAATTACTAATATTTGTAGATATATCAACCTGCAACAGAAACATTTTGATTCATTAATTTGCCACCTGAAATGCCATGATGCACTTACTAATCACATTATTTAAAGGGGCCCCTTTTCTATTTTCCTTGCCTCATTGGTCCCAAATGCAGGGCAGACAATTCAGGCATGTGGGTCAAATGAGCCATTATGAAATAATATGAGATAATTTGGCTTTTAATTACTAATGCATGACTTTACAGGTAGCTCCTTGAGTTAGATTTGATAACTAACTGATCTTTTAAAGTTACTTGTTTCTTATTTTGCACTTGAAGATACTTAGAAAATTATTTTTTTTCCTGGTTAAGGTGGATGTTTTGAGATAACATGCTGACATATTTTGCTTGGCATCATGAGTTTTTTTCTTGTTTTCTTCTTAATTGTGATTAAATATACAGAACATAAAATTTACCATTTTAACAATTTTTAATTTTACAATTCTGTGTTGTTAAGTACATTCACATTGTGGTGCAACCAATCTCCAGAACTTTTTTGTCTTCCCAAACTGAAACTCTATACCCATTAAACAACAACTCCCTATTTTCACCTACCCCCAGTCCCTGGCAATCACCCTTCTGCTGCCTCTATAATTTTGACTGCTTTAGATATCGTATATAAATGGAATCATAAAATTTTTTTTGTATCTTATTTCACTTAACATAATGTCCTCAAGATTCATCCATGTTGTAGCATTGCCAGAGTCCCTTCCTTTTTAGGGCTGAATAATGTTCCATTGTATGTATGTACCATATTATGTTTATCCACTTATCAGTTGATGGACACTTGGTTTCCTTTCACTTTTGGCCATTGTGAAAAATGCGGCTTTGAACATGGGTATACAAATATCTCTTTGAGTCCCTGATTTCAATACATTTTGTTATATACCCAGAAGTGGAATTGCTGGATTATATAATAGTTTTTTTTAAAATTTTTTAGCAAACACCATATTGTTTTCCACAGTGGCTACACCTTCTTATATTTCCACCAATAGTGCACAAGAGTTCCAATTTCTCTACGTCCTTGCCAACACTTGCTAGTTTCTCCTTCCTTCTTTCCTTCCTTCCTTCCTTCCTTCTTTCTCTCCCTCTGTCCCTCACTTGCTTCCTTCCTTCCTTTTTTCTTTCTTTCTTTCTGTCTTTCTTTCTTTCTTTTTCTTTCTTTCTTTCTCCTTCCTTCCTTCCTTCCTTTCTGTCTTTTCTTTTCTTTTCCTTTCTTTCTCTACCTTTATTCCTTCCCCTCCTGCCTTCCCTTCCTCCCTCCCTCCTCCCTTCCTTCTTTCCTTCCTTGTTAGCCATCCTAACAGGTGTGAGGTGAAATCTCGTTGTGACTTTGATTTGCATTTCCCTAATGATTAGTGATGTTGAGCATTTTTACATGTGCTTTGTGGCCATTTGAGTATCTCCTTTGGAGAAATGTCTATTCAAGTCCTTTGTCCATTTTTAAATTGGGTTATTTGGGTTTTTTTGTTGTTACGTTGTAGGAATTCTTCATATATTCTGGATATTAGCTCCCTTTTCAAATATGTATTGCAAATACTGCCTATCATTCTGTAGGTTGCCTTTTCATTTTGTTGGTTGTGTCCTTTGATGCACAGTTTTAACTTTTGATGTAATCTAATTTATCTATTTTTACTTTTGTTGCCTGTGCTTTTAGTGCCATTGATTCATTTTGATAACTTGTCCATCCCAATAGGACAAGGTTGAGGAAGAATTGAATTATCATGCAGTTTAATCCACGTTTCAGGAAATGCACATATTAGGGCCTAATTAGTGACTTGACTTTTTTTTTTTTGCCATGATTTTGCACATAGATCTGATGGAGTTTCTTGTGCCTGCATTGGTTAGGCATACTGATTAGATCTGTATTAAAAGTTCTGAGAAGTCTTGAAGGGAAAAAACAGGTTTAACTTTTTTAAACCAGGTTAACTTAGAATTTTCTGAACTTATATGAAAACATTTCTTATTTTACACAACACTTTGCAGGTTAGTGGAGTTTCATGAAAGACCACGTAACCGATAAAATCTGGGTTTGTTGACTTTCTGACATTCCTGAGTATGTGTTGGATGGCTGGTTCTGCTGACCTGGGTCAAGCTTAGTTCATTTCAGCTGAGCTCATCCATGCATCTCTGGGCAGTCATTGGATGGGCTGCTGGTGGCCTTGGCCGGGATGGTCCTGGCTGCCTCATGTGGCCTGTCATGGAGCAGTCTGGCTCAGCCTTATTTTCATAGCAGAAGTGGGGGTCTGAGAGACAGTAAAAGTGCAGAAACACCCCTGGAGGCCCGCGCGTGGGGCTGGCACAGTGTCCCTTCTGCCACGTTCTATTCATCACAGTGAGTCACACAGACAGCCTAGGTCTGAGGTAAGAGGGGGATACATCCCATCTCTTAATAGGAGGAGAGAAGCCACAAAGTCATATTGCAATGAAAGGGTGGAGAAGTGGATAATTAGAGCCATTTTTGCAATTGCTCTTCCACAATGGTGGTCAAAGTAGCTTTTTAGCAGGAAAACAAGCTGCCTGACCTCAAAGCAAAGACTCTACCCTGATTTCCATAATCTTGACAAGAAACATCAACTCCTTACTCTGAAGTTGCAGCAGAACCTGGCCTCCAGGTGTGCAGGCTTGGGGCAGATCACACTAAATGTGTTTCCCCCTTTCCCCCACCCAATTCACACTTTCAATATTTATGAAATTGAAAAAAGATTGAAGTAAACATGAAGGATAACTCAGGAGGGGAAAAGAAAGCAGTAAAAGCCACATATAACATGAGAGTTATGTGATGCAGGAGGAGGGCAGTGGACCTCGGCCCATCCCTAATGGGGGGCAAGGCAAGAATACAAGTACAAGAGTACAAGTGGAGGCCCATGCATCAAATGTCTAAAGACATAAAATTTCTGAATCAAGCCAAAGCACTGTGAAGGGAAATATGGTGTAGCCTCCCCCTTGACAAATAGACTTTCCCAACATTCTGTAGGCCAGGCTTACATTTAAAATTCTTGAACTTCTTCTTGTTCTGTGCTGGGAGCATGGGAAGAGCTGGCTCCTGGCCCCCAGGCCCTGGCCATGGTCCCTCCCCATCTCTTTCACTCCTTACTCCAACACACACTTCAAAGGGCCATGTGTGCTAGTGTACCCACACGTGAGTGTGCACACCCATGAGGATGCACTCACAGACATGTGCAAGCTCCATCCATACCCTCTGCCCACAGCTACCTACCTTTCAGGCAGCTCAGAGCTGGAGAGCACCACATGGACATCCTACAAGTGGGCTGGAGTCACCTGGGCAAGTGATTCTGGGTCCCTGGCATGGAGAGTGTGGACAGGGTGGGGTGATGATGGTGCAGACTTTGGGTGGTACGTTAGGCCATTCTCATTCCTATAAAGGATGGCCTGAGACTGGGTAATTTATAAAGGAAGGAGGTTTAATTGACTCACAGTTCCACATGGCTGGGGAGGCCTCAGGAAACTTATGATCATGGTGGAACGGGAAGCAAACACGTCCTTCTTCACATGACGGCAGGAAGGGGAAGTGCCAAGCAAAAGGAGGAAAAGCCCCTTATAAAACCATCAGGACTTGTGAGAACTCACTTACCATCACAGAACAGTAGCATGGGGGTAACCACCCCCATGATTCAATTACCTCCCACTGGGTCCCCCCCAACAACATGTGGGGATTATGGGAACTACAATTCAAGATGAGATTTGAGTGGGGATGCAGCAAAACCATATCAGGTGGCCTCTTTGTGCTGTGAAGTGGGTGTGATTAGAGGAGGGCAAAAGGAGAAACTCCAGTTACAGGGTCCAGAGAAGTGGCTGCTGTTGCCTAGGTCTAAGTGTGGTTTTGCATATGCCAGCTGGTTTCCTGGGTGATAATGGAGGATTTAGAGTTGATTTTAAGAAAGTAAATCCTAGATCCTCTTAAAGGTACTTCTTCCCCAGATGTCTATTTTCCCTAAGTTCCAGTCTAGTCACTAATTATGGCAGCAGTAGGGGCTGAGGAACGAAGGAGAGCAAAGCAAAAGCCAGGGATGATGCCCTGAGGAAGAGGACGAGGACCCTAAAGATGGCCTGAGACGGCAGTCGCAGCAGGCCAGCCTCTGCTGAGCACAGCTTGGGGATCTTGCTAGAACTACTTGCACATACCCACATGCAGAAAGTAAAACCAGCCCCACTAAGCTGATATGCCACCACTGAACAGCGTGCCTCAGGTCCAAAGACTTTCCCATGAATGTTCACAGCAGCTTTATTTATAAAATAGCCAGAAATGGAAAACAATCCAAATATCCATCAACATGTGACTGGATAAACAAATTGTGGTCAATGAACATGCAGATCATGGACTGCTCCTCAAAAATGAAAAGGAATAAACATTGATGCACACAGCATTGTAGTATGTACCAAAACAAGGGTACATACTGTATGATCCCATTTATATAGAAGTCTCGAAAAAGCAAACTAATCTACAGCAACAGAAAGGAGAGTGGTGGTTGCCTAAGGAAAGGGATGGAGCATGGTGGGAGAGAAGGAGTGGGAGGAGGCTCTTTGTGGTGATGGATATTTTCATTATCTTGATAATGGTGATGCTGTCACAGTTGTATACATACATCACAAATTATCAAATTGTACACTTCAAATGCATGCAATTTATAGTATATCAATCATATCCCAAAGAAGCTCTTAGAAACCAAAACAATATAAAAGAACCATGTATCCCATATAACTTCCCCTTAGAGTTGATGTTGGCCTCTTTAATAGAAAGTAGTAAGGCTGTGTCATACTTGATCTCAACTGAGTTTTTCTGAACAAGATGCTCTACATAACTTGGGCTCCAAGTGGTAGCGTTTTCTGTTTCCCAGGTTGAAGGGATTCCTTTGAGTGTTCCAGGCACCTCTGCATAGCCCAGGTCACCCTGTGACCTTCATTCTTTTCCAGCCCATTCCTCCATAGAGCCCTGTCTGAGATGAGATAAAGTGTCTGCGCTCTACAGAGGGGCATCTTCACTTCCACATTCCCGCGGACACCACCAGTGAGGCTATCTCTCCCCATCAGGGCGTCCAGACACTACCAAAGCTGAAAACGTGGTCTTCACTCTTTAATGCTGAATATTCTGGGCCAATAGAAATGCTTGGGACTGTGGGGTGGCTTCAGGATTCTCATTTCTGGGCATTTCTGCCATAAATCTCCTTGAGAGTCTCTTCTCTAAGAGAAATCCCAGCAGGCATCATGAGGATTAACTGGGTAATGTTCAAAAGCATCTCAGAGCATCTCAGGGCTAAATAGCACATGATTGCTGGAGAGAGACTATCCAGTGAAACCACAGAGGTGGAAGACAGTGGGAGGGAGGAAACCATCTCTTAGGGCTTACTGTCATCTCATCCATCATCTACCATGTGCTAGAGAGAGGGAAAATGATTTTCCACAATCGCTGTCCCTGAAAGCCTCATCTGCACTTTTTTTGTTGTAGAAAGAGATCACTATGAGACCTTTACCACTGCTGACCCAGAACCCATTTCCTTGTTTCTTCTCCCTAACAGAATCCTGATTTTCATTTAGCTATCCCATCCACTCCTCCCTCCCACATGTTAGAGGTTGAAATGTTCTCCTTCACTCCCAACACATTTGTGTGATGAAGACCTAACCTCGGTACCTCTATACCGTATTTGGAAATAAGGTCATGGTATATGTAATTAATTAAGTTACAATGAGGCTATACTGGAGTAGGGTGGGACCCCAATCCAATATGACTGATGTCCTTATAGAAGGGAAAATTTGGACACAGTGACAGTCATGCATAGAAAAAAGACACTGTGAAGAGACACAGGGAGAAGATGACCATCTAAAAGCCAGAGAGAGAGGGGTCTGGAGCAGATCCTTCCCTCACAGTCCTCAGAAGGAACCAATGCTGTGGAAACCTTGATTTTGAACTTCAAGCCTCCAGAAGTACGAGGCGATCAATTTCTGTTGTTTAAGCCACCCAGGTTGCGGTACTACGTTAAGACAGCACTAGCAAACGAACACACCATGCAATTCTTAGGGAAAAGCTGACCCATCTCTGTTTCCAAAGGTGAGTCTTGTCTGTCTTCCCCTTCCCCTGGCCACTTTTTCATTCAAGCTGTGCATGCGTTCTAGACAGTGTGGTGTGTAAATGAGATGCCTGGAACTGCTTGCAGCTATTTGGCAACCATGAGGAAGTTAGTCCTGGAGAAAGGAAACTAACTGGGTTTATGTTCACAGTCTTGAGCTGCTGGGTCCAAAGCTTGCCCTGGCTCAAAAGTTTCCAGTTTGTGAACTAATACGTCAACTTTATTATTCAAGGCAGTTCAGTCTGGGTTTTCTGTTTCTTGCTCCCCAAATCACTTTACCTTAGTGTGATATGTGTGGAGCTTTTAGGTAGGTTCCCAGTGAAAAACATGTAAAGAGAGCATCATTCTCTCTCCATCCATCTCTACTCCACCCTCCCTGCTTTCCTGAGTTCTTTCCATTGCTAATACCTTGATCTGAGGTGGGGAATAGACTTGGATCCACCAACACTCATTGAATGTTTTTCATTGCAAGATATATACTAAGCACAGAACCAAGCTAGAACCCCACCTAAATCTAGATCCCACCTAAAGGAGCTTAGAGTTCAATAAGGTAGATGATATTTACACAAATGACTGATACAAGGTAGAATATAATGCATAGAATAAATACTTTAAGATAAGCACATGGGAAGCTGCATAGGATCATAAAGGAGGGTAGAAAGCTAATGATATAAAGAGGCCAGACACAGTGGCTCATGCCTGTAATTCCAACACTTTGAGGGGCTGAAGCAGGAGGATTACTTGAGCCCAGGAGTTGGAGGCTGCAGTGAGCTATGATCGTGGCATTACACTCCAGCCTGGATGATGACAGAGCAAGACTGTTGAAAGAAGGAAAAAGAAAGAAAGAAAGAAAGAAAGAAAGAAAGAAAGAAAGAAAGAAAGAAAGAAAGAAAGAAAGAAAGAAAGAAAGAAAGAGAGAAAGAAAGAAAAAGAGAAAAGAAAGAAAGAAAGAAGAGAGAAAGAAAAAGAGAAAGAAAGAAAGAAAGAAAGAAAGAAAGAAAGAAAGAAAGAAAGAAAGAGCAAGCTAATAACATAAAGAAAACAGAATCCTTGTTGACCATTGGGGATCAGGTTTGAGTTGAACACAGGCCAGTATATGTTAAGTGTTTTTAATACGCTCAGGAGTGTGTTGACTACAGAGTAAAAGGCAATGAGGTGGTTGTTACCTCCACAGTATTCATTTTTCCTTCCACTTCCCTATCATTCCTGGTTTTTGTTTGGAGATCCATGTGGCTTCAGGTCAACTAATTTTGCCCTAGCCCTAGAGGTAGCATGCTTGTCCTAGGCAAAACTAATCAGCCCAATTTACCTCCCACCCCACCCAAACACATCTAGTGTGGCCATTCAGGTGTGGCCATGGGACTTTTTTCTTGGAGTACCAGGACAAAGATGTTCTTTCTTCCTCTGAGCCACGTGGGGTGCCCCTGCAAGGCCTGGAACTACTGCAATCATTTTTGCTACAATGTGTAAAGACAATCTAGGATAAAGCCAAAAGACAAAGGAGTGTAAAGGCAAGAATATTGGAGACAGAGGACGTAGGGCTTTAATAACTTCGAACCTCTCGATTAAACCATGCCTGAAAGCCACGCAATTTATAGACTTTTAGTTGTGTGAGTCAATACATTCTTTTTATTATTTAAGCCAATTTGTGTGGGACTATCAGTTACTTGCTTCTGCAACTATATTGATTGATGCAGAATTCAGGACTACAACCTTTTATGCAAAATCTCTAGAGTCAGGTATGTTTCTAAGTCAGAATTTTTCACATTTAGAAAGGTATCTTAGTTTGTTCCTGCTGCCATAACAAACACCACAGCCTGGGTCATTTATAAAGATTAGGAATTTATTTCTCACAGTTCTGGAGGCTGGGACGTCCAAGAGAAAGACGCAGGCAGGTTGGGTGCCTAATGAGGGGTCTCTGCTTCCATAATGGTGCCTTGTTGCTGCATCTTCACTTGGCGGAAGCCTGAAGGGCAAAGGGGCTTGCTAGTTCTCCCGAGTTTTTTTAATCAGGGCTCTGCCCGCATCACTTAATCACCTCCTAAAAGCCCCACCTCTTCATACTGTCACACTGGCAATTAAGTTTCAACACATGAATCTTGGGGGACATTCAGACCATAGCAAAAGGTAATTCAGCTCCCCACTATACATTACGTAATGCCGCAAGTGGGGTCTGGGCCAGCACTAGGCGAGCAACACATTAATATTTGCAGTGGAATGTATGAATATTCATTCTATGAGGATAAACGAAGACTATAGTCTTATATCAGTTCAGGTCATGTTTTACCGCCAAGGGAGTTCACCTCAAACTTTGAACAAAGCCACGTTCATTCTCAGAACTTTTTGGTTTCTAGAGTTGCAGGAAAGAAGATGGTGGATCAATCTGTACTTCTTCCTGCCCTTAAGTTCCTTCTAGTCCAGTTGGAAGACAGTATTTTCATAACCGAAGCCTTCTAGATAAAGGCAATCTGTAACCAGCGCTGGGTTCTGTGATGCAATCACTGTGCTGCAAGGGCTCTTAACACACTTTGGATAGTATTTATTCACAGAATAAACAAACTGGTCAATAAGTATGCATTGAGCATCTAATATGTTCATAGCATGAGCCTAGGCCCAGAGGAAAAACCAAAGGGATGTAAGAATTAACCAGTTTGTGTTTAAAAGGATCCTGGCAGATACAAAAGGCTAAATAGCAATTAATTGGTCAAATTAATATATGGTAAACCTGCAAACCTTAAGTTGTCCTCTCCCTACCAGAGGCTCCTTCAGAAAGAAAGCCAGGGCAGGTCTGAGGCAGTAGGGGAGGGGTGGGAAGAGAGTGGAGGGAGGCTGCCTGGCTGAAATCTTGGAGGAAGCCATCCCCAGAGCGTGTGGGACAGAAGAGTGGGCAAGTTATGGAGGCCCTTGAGTCCCTCGGTTGTCAGTTGCTGGTTTTGCACACTGCGTCAGCTTCTCCCGTGTGCCTCTCTGGCTGGTGAGCCTTCATTCCCCCCTGACTGGCTGCCCTGTCCCTCTCTTATTAAAGGATGCCTTGGGCACAGGCTGTTATCCTCATTTGGAAGGGTTTGGAAATTATACATGAGAGTAAGAAAATTCTGCTGTGGCTTTTTATGGTAGGCATCACTCTTAGCAAGCATGAGAACCTAGTTCTGTCCTTTGTAGAGGTTGTAGTGGTTATTATTACTATTATTACTACAATAAACTCAGTGACACACTGACAGTATGTGCGTGATATAATAAAAAAAAATATGACTTTGTTCTTTGTCTCTGGTTCCTGGCACCAGAGCTCTTAAATCCCTTGGGATTTTCTGCATGATAACAGTGTCTTTTTTGTTCTAATGAGACCGCTGTTTTTGGGTCCCTTGATAGCTTCAGGCTGGGGGCTCGTCACCAGAAAGACCAAGCCATTGTTAGAGGGTGGGAACTCTCAGCCACAACCCCAGCCTCCTGGGAAGGGGTGGGTTGGGAGATTGAGCTTATCATCAATGGCCAGTGATTTCATCCATCATGCCTATGTGATGAAACCTCCATTAAAAACCCCTAAATGATAGGGCTACGAGAGCTTCCAGGTTGGTAAACATACTGAGGTGCTGGGAGAGTGGAGCACCAGAGTGGGCATGGAAGCACAATGCACCCCTATCCCCATCTCTTGCCCTACACATCTCCTCCAGTTGGCTGTTCCTGAGTTACATCCTTTATAATGTAAATAAAATGTTTCCCTGAGTTTTGTGAGCCATTTTAGCAAATTATTGGACCTGAGGGGGAGTCATGGGAACCCCCAACTTTATAGCCAGCTTGTCAAGAGTATGGGAGGCCCAGGACTTGTGACTGTCTGAAGTTGAAGGGCGGTCTTGTGGGACTGAGCCCTAGAACCTATGGGGTCTGCGCTAACTCCAGGTGGTTAGAGTCAGAATTGAATTGAAATGTAGGACACCCAGTTAGTGTCTGGAGAGTTACAGAATTAGTTGGTAAAATCCCAACCATTTGGTGTCAGGAGGGGTGTCGTAAAAACAGTTCATAGGGTAGGACACAGCTCAAAACCTACAGCCAGATTCAGTCTCTGCTCAATCCCCACATGTAGGGATCCCCACTTTTGTCCCTTGACTTTCAGAACCATTTAAATGAGCAGTGGTCAGTTTGAGTAGAATTCATTGCTATTGGTAACTGAGTCATGGACATTTTCACAAGGATCTTTATCAGGCTTTTTAGACATGACTTCTTGCAAATCGTCCTTGGGGTAGCCATGAGAATGTGCCACTTGGGTCTTCCACTGCATGGAGCGAGGCTGACTGGTGCTGCAGATGCGCCCATCGCTGTACTGGCACCGAGGCCAGGCATCCCCCAGGCTGGTCCCAGTCAATGACTGAGCAAGGTGGAGGTGCTAAAGCAGATCCATTCCTGCAGGACGGGGGCCTCCTTTGAGGAGCCACTTTGATTTGGGAGATCCCTCATGGGCCTCGTCAAATCTTTCTTGGAACAGCACTACTGCAACTCTTCCAGCCCAATCAATCATCCTGCCTTCTCTCTCTCCTCCACAGGGCCCAGGCCAGCATCACAGTCTGAAGCCTTTCCTCCCTTCTCCTGCTTTTTCCTCTTTATCCTTCTGACATTTCCCCCAGTAAATCTCTTGCCATCTGCTTCCCAGAGGACCTGGACTAACACAGTCCCGAACAATTCTTTGATAGGAAGACCCATCGTTATGACAGAGGCAAGGGCTGTGTGACCTCCAGGCCATTTCCACCTTCCTCCTTGACCTCAAGACTCTTCTCAATTTGCGCTAGGGGACAAGCACATCTTTGTGCCAGTTGGGTTAGATAAGATTTTCCCTCTTGGCAAAAGTTCCCGCTTGGTGTGTGCTTATCTTTCCGATTGCTCCTGGCTGCTTTTGCTCTGAAACAGACACCAGCCTAGATCAAAGATGAAAATATCTAGAGCTGGCAGCCTAAAGCAGCTACCATACAAATCAGGATCTCAACCCCCTTCATTGTTTTAAATAGGAAAATGAATCTTCTGGTCCCTCAAATTACACCTGGTCATGTAGAGATAACAATGAATTATGTGCATTAGAGAAGCAATCCTTTAAGGAAGGCATGCATGTTTCACGGTATTTAAGTCCAGATTTGAATGTCAAAGGGATTGTATGTGTGGCATTTTACTGTAAATAATATGACAGATTCTTTTTCATCACCTCTAAAATACCAAAGAGAGGAAAACAAATAATATGGCTGTTTGGCCAGGTTGCTTCACCGTATCCCTTAAGTCCCTACGTGATGAGAAAATTGTGAAGGGAATGAGCTGGGGATACCAACATAGGCAGAAAGCACCAATCAATTCTGAATGTACTTCCCTGTGGCACATTTACACGAAAAGGGCACCAAAACGCCCACAAGAGCACCTGCCTCTCTGAGATTAGCAGGCCAGCCCTCAAAATTATCCTGCTCATAGAATCAACAAGGTTAGAGGTATAGAGAGGACTTGTTTGTGAGCTGGGCCTGTGCTCAGCACATCTAACCTTCTCTTGGGCCTTGCTGCCCTTAGAGACGAGGTCGCCGTGGCGGGAGCCCCAGGGTCCTACCTGGGTTGGTTCACCTCTCCCACAGACCTGAGCAGATTCCCAGCCTTGTCTCTCTGTGGTTCCCTCCAACCTAGCCCCTGTGTTTTGGTGGCCATTTAGGGTCCAATCCTGCCCTTGCCTTCACTTTGTACCCATGCATGTCTTTCTTTATCCCCCATGGTCTTCGCTGCTGCGGTTTCTAATATGTTTCTAATATGCTGTTTCTATTCTGTGTGTCTACATCATTAACACATGCTCTGTGTCGTTTAATAGGTTCTATTAGGCCAGGAGTGGTGGCCTACACCTGTAGTCCCAGCTTTTGGGGAGGCTGAGGTAGGAGGATCCCTTGAGCCCAGGAGTTTGAGGCTGCAGTGAGCCATGATAGCACCACTGAACTCCAGCCTGGGCGACAGAGCAAGACCTTGTCTCTAAAAAAATTTTTTTTAATTAATTAATTTTTTAAAATTCTATTACTACCCCAACTTTACAGATGAGTAAACTGAGACCCACAGAGATGATGTCCATTCTTCAGCCTGACTTTATAACCTGACATTTTTTCTATGTTTTCAAGGGCGTAGAGTACATTTTTACCTTAATATGCCCACCCTTACCTCTAATGTATCATGTCCAAACCTCACATAATCATTTCATCCTAAAATACATTATCTTCCCATCCCTGTCCCACCTCCTCACCATCTATCTGTCTGTCTATCTATCTATCTATCTGTCTGTCTATCTATCTATCTATCTATCTATCTATACATTTTATATACATTTTGTGATATGCATTTTATGTGTATATCTCTATATAAAATAGAGATGGGATCTCACTCTGTTGATCAAGCTGGCCTTGAACTCCTGGCATCAAGTGATCCTCCCATCTCTGCCTCCCAAAGTGCTGGGATTACAAGCCTGAGCCACTGCGCCCGGCCCCTGCCATCTATTTTTATTTACACTCTTTCTTCCTTCCTAATTACATTATTTCTAATAGTGCAGCTCCAATTTTTCCAGCTCCCAAAGACAGAAATCTAAATTTTCTCTCTTCATCATCACAAAGTCCTGTCATTAAAATGTCCTTCCTTCAAACGGTCATTCTTCTGTGGGTTGGAAGAAAAAGCATTACTTTAAGAGGCTGGCATAGAACTCTTCTCAGGGAGAGAACAGTATTGTTTAGAAGTTAAATTTAAGGGTATGTCTGGGCTACTCTGGGCACACTGCCTATAGGGTAACCCTGCTCCACAAGAAGCAGAAAAAATAAATAAATAAAATAAATACATTAATTAAAATTATTATTATTTTTTTTTTTTTTAAAAAAAGGGTGTTTCTGGTTGGAAAACAAGGCCCTCCGGGTATGGCTGGAGTAGGCTGGGGAGTGAAAGTCCTGAGAGGTCAGACAGCTGAAAGGAAGGGGCCTTGTTCCCCAGTAGCCACTTCCCTTATTCCTCTATTAAAAAAAAAAAAAAAAGGAAAAGAAATTCCTAAATTTGACAGGGCACAGGACTTCCCAGAAGAAAGATAGCAAATCCTAGTCCCGTTTGCAACTAAAGATGAACTTTTGCCCCGGTTCTAGCCAGTGGTAGACATGCGGAAGTGGCCAAGGCAACTTCTGGATATGTTCCACTTGAGTCAGAGAGAAGAAACCAGCTCCCAGAAATGAGACAGGCCAGGTGCGGTGGCTCACGCCTGTAATCCCAGCACTTTGGGAAGCCAAGGTGGGCAGATCACTTGAGGTCAGAAGTTTGAGAGCAGCCTGGGCAACATGATGAAACCCCGTCTCTACCAAAAAATACAAAAAAACTTAGCTGAGTGTGGTGGTGTGCACCTGTGATCCCAGCTACTTGGGAGGCTGAGGTAGGAGAATCACTTGAACCCAGGAGGTGGAGGTTGCAGTGAACCAAGATTGTGCCACTGCACTCCAGCCTGGGTGACAGAATGAGACTCTATCACAAACAAACAAACAAGAAGTGCGACAGAGTGACAGCATGAGTTCAAACAAACAGCATGAGAAATGGCTGTGCAAGCATAAGCCTTTGCAATCATAGAGATGACAATGCAGGGAGGCCATAGGTCTTCCTGGGGGATATAGGAGGGTTGAATGTATTTTTACTAAATCCCAAATGTGACTCCACTGCACGTTTGCATTAGATTTAGATTTCTCCAGTTTCCATTCCCGTAACTACCACTTCATGTCTAGATTAAGACAGTTTCCAAGCCTGTCTTTCTGTCTATTGTCTTTCTCTGCTGCAGTCCCTCTTGTATAAAGGCCAGATTTGCCTTTCTACAACACTAATGCAATCACAAACACGAATTCATCTGCTCAGGAGTCTAAATCCTTCCCGTTGCCTACAGGGCAAAATCCAGTCTTTATACTTGAAACCCCACTTTCCTTGCCAAGTCCTCCCCGTACCCCACAATCTAACCACCTCCCTTAATACAACCTCCTTTCTTCCAGCTATTCAGGCCAAAAATGCTGGAGTCTTCCTTGAGTGCTTTCTTTCTCTTACATCCCAGCCTGTATCCTAGGCAACTGTCAACCTGTTCAGACCACCTTAAAAATATGCTCAGCCTCCCCTACTTTTCACCTTCATAGCCACCCTGCTGGTCCTGCCATCATGTTCATTTACCTGGGTACTTAGATTCTCTCCTGACCTGGCTTCCTGCTGCCTCCCTAGTGGCAGCCCAGTAGCCAGAGAGAGGCTGCTAAAGCTCTCTTCATGTCACTCAGAGTAAAAAAAAGTCCTCTCTTTTTATTTTATTATTATTATTATTATTTGAGATGGAGTCTCATTCTGTCACCCGGGCTGGAGTGCAGTGGTGTGATCTTGGCTCCCTGCAACCTCTGCCTCCCAGGTACAAGTGATTCTTCTGCCTCAGCCTCCCAAGTAGCTGGGATTACAGGCCTGAGCCACCACGCCCGGCCAATTTTTGGATTTTTATTAGAGACAGGGTTTCACCAACTGGCCAGACTGGTCTTGAACTTCTGACCTTATGTGAGCTGCCCCCCTCAGCCTCCCAAAGTGCTGAGATTATAGGTGTGAGCCACAGCACCCAGCCAGAAAGTCCTTTCAATGGCCTATCAGGCCATATACAATGTCTCCCCATTACCTCATCAACTTGGTCAACCAGGCTCTTCTTGCTTGTTTCACTCCAGTGCTCCTGAAGATATGCAGATTTAGCTCCTACCTCAGGGCCTTTGCCCTTGCTAGTTCATCTGCCTGGATCATTCCTCCTTCGGGTCTTCAGATAGCACAATCTATCAACTCCTTCAAACCTTTGCTCAAATGCCACTTTCTCAGTTAGCCTGAGAAATATAACCATTATATTTCTCATGTAACCATAAATATTTCTATACATATAACCATCATATTTACATTTTGGTACTTTTCATCCTCTCCAGGTTGCCCTTTCATCTTCCTTGCTTTTTTTCTCTTCCATAGCACTTATCAGGTTCTGAAAAATGTACAGTTTACTTATTATTTTATTTGTTACATTTCTCTGCCCGCCAGAATGTATGCTCCATTATATTTTGGTATAGTGGACAGAGAGGTTTGTCCATCTTGTCTTTTGCTGTGTTCTCAGGCCCCAGCTCAGTGCCTGCACATAGTAGGTGCTCACTCATATTAGCCAGAGCTCTCCAGAGAAACACAGCCAATAGGATATGTATAGCTATCTATAAGAGTGGACACATTATGGGAATTGGCTCACATGATTATGGAAGTCAAATGCCATTTGCAAACTGAAGGCCCAGGAAAACCGGTGGTGTAATTCAGTCTGAGGCCAAAGGCCTGAGAACCAGGGAAGGGAAGGGGTGTGGATGGGGTTGCTGGCATAAATCCTGGAGTCCAAATGCCCCAGAACCAGGAGCTCTGATGTCTGGTGGCAGGAGAAGGTGGATGTCCCAGCTTAAGGACAGGGAGACACAATTTGCCCTTCCTCCACTATTTGCTCTATTCAGGCCCTCAATGGATGAGATGGTACCCATTCACATTGGTGAGGGCAATCTCCTTTACAGGGCCCACTGGTTCAAATGCTAAACTCTCCAAGAAAGACCTAGAAATAATGTCTATCATCTCTCTGGGCATTCCTTAGGCCAGTCAAGTTGACACATAAAATTAACCCTTCTATCACTCTTAGCTGCTGAATGGACTTTATTCACCTCCTCTCATCACCCCATCCCCTCTGGCCCAGTGTGTCACCCTCAGCTGGCCCCACCTAGCCTGCGTAGGTCTGCGTCAGTTCCTCACCCTGCTGGGGTCCTCCTTCCTTCCCTTAGCATTCATGCCTCCTCCATGCCTCCCTCTCAGCCCATTTCATTCCACACTGACTTCTCCCTCCTTTGGGTTCCTTTGCACTTGTAATATTTTGGACAAACATGGTGACTTGGCTTGATCCCATCACATGGGGCAGAAACTAGCCAAGTGTAGAATTTCTCAGAGATGAATTGCTTCTAATTTTTTTCCCCTAAAACTTGTGATTCAAGCAAAAAGAGAGGAAGAGGAAAATGGCATGTGGCCATTGCAAAGAGATGACAGCTCAGATAGACAAACACAAAGGCCATTCTCTGTAACACAGAGGACAAGGGTGTGAAGTTTGCAAGATCCAGCTCCAGGAAAACAAGTGGCAATCATGCCTGCTGAAGCCACAACACACGGTTGTTTGGAGAGGCCCAGAGCCAGCACACTGGGAAGTCTTGAAGGAAAGAGGGAAAGTGGCCCAAGCTGGCAACTGGTGGGGGCACTGGCATCTTGACTTTCCAGGGCCAAGTTATAAGCTGTCACTGAGATGTTCTCCCAGTCCTCAGAGTTTATATACAGTGTCCATACTTGGTGTTTGCACTAAGGATTATGGAGTGTCACTTGCGGATGAAATTTATTCACATAAGAATATGTTAGAGCATTTGGAAGGAATGCCATGTTTGGAAGAACAGTGCCTAGTTAACCTGCAAAAATATTCCAGGGGAGCCCTATCCCATAGAAAGGAAGTCCCTCTCAGGGGTGGATGGCAGCCCATAAGTTATGCACAAAGAGTCCACATACCAGAGCATTGATTTTTTTTTCCTCATTGTTTCACATATATTAGTCATTTCAAGGAAGTTAATAAATCTGTGAAGGGCCAGGATCGTGTCATGCTATACATGTTATACTTTCTCCTCCAAAATGCTTAGTTCTGAGCACATGCTAGGTTCTGGATAATTTTTGGATTGATGAAGTATAAATTAAAGGCAAATGTCTTCCTATTTCTATGTGAGGGCTTAATAAGTACAGATCTAATACCTAGCTGTTTTCTGAGAATCCAGCATTGGCACTATTTTATATTACCCTGTCCACATTTAAAAGGTGCCCCATGTAAAGTGAGAAAATAGATTCTGAAAAGGATTGAGGCAGCCTGGGAATTATTCCAAGAGAGACTGTTAATCAACTCATGGCACAGAATCAGAGAAGGATATTTTGGGCTGCAGAGGGCAAGCTCATGCAAAGCACAGTCACAGCCCTGGCAATTTCAGGCCCATTTGGATGAGTCAAGAGCGGGCTATGACAAGCCATTTCCAGAATGGTCTGTCCACCCACCTACCACCAGAATGCACCAGAGGCCTTGGCACCACCAGCTACCCTCTCTCAGCCCATTTCTGCTTACAGAGAGGTGTCCTTTGGAGAAAGACCAACTCTGTCCCACTTTCTGGGATCCATCATCTCTGGGACAGTGGCATTTACAGCTGTTCTCCTCCCTCCCTCCCAGCAAAGGCCCAGAGTAAATCACGTCTCCCAGGGACTGTTTGTAGCACTTGCTGGTATGAGCTGTGGGGCTCTGCAAGGACCCCTTTTTCCCATCAGCCTGCCGTCCAATCTTGGAGTAATATAAGGGGGTCCAGCTATTGGGGGTCATTGGGAGGATATAAATGGGCATTTGAAAACTCACTTTAAGCACCTCTCAGGACTGCTGAGAACCTTCTCTGCTTCCAACCAATCATGTCCATTCCAGAGGTTTGCATAAAACATTTCATCCCAGGACCAAGCAAATGCATTGTATTAGGTGATCTCCAATATCCCTTAATATCCCTTCCAGCTCCTGGAAGCTATGGTTCTAAATTCAGGGCTTAACTAGCAGATGATGAAGGCTCTTCACTTATTTTCCTTTGCTGCCTGCATTTGGTATTTCACCTTGTTCCTTATCTCTTCTGCCTTATGGAACTAAGGGTAAGGAGAAACTCAAATCCATCATTTTTGCAGTTTGTTGGCAGCTCTAATTCACCAGTTTTGTAATTTGTTTGCACCTGCTAGAAAAAGGTTTGTTGGGGAGGGGTGATGGAACTTGCTATGGTTTGAATGTATCTCCCAATGTTCATGTGTTGGGAACTTAATCCTCAATACAACAGTGTTGGGAGGTGGGGCTTAATAAGAGATGATTAGGTCATAAGGGCTATGCCCTCATGAATGGATGAATGTTGTTATTGATGGAGTGGGTTAGTTATCAAGAGACTGGGCTTATTATAAGAGCAAGTTCAGCCCCCTCCTGCTCCCTTGCTCTCACACTGTCTTGCCCTTTCACCTTCTGCCATGGGATGATGAAACACAAAGGTCCTCACGGGATGCTGTCACATGCTCTTGGACTTCCCAGCCTCCAGAATCATAAGCCAAATCAACTTCTATTGCTTATAAATTACCCAGTCTCTGGTATTCTGTTACAGCAACACAAAACAGCTAAGACACAACCATAGCCTGGTAGGGGAGACAACAATGCAATGGAATAAATACAGGTAAAGTTTCTTGGAAGCATAGACAGAAATTGACAAATTGCTCAGGAAAGGGAGAGAATACTTTGAAAAGTAATGTGCTGGCATTGGCTTCGGGTCTTAAGGAAAGCTTAGGAGTTGCCCAGGCCTTTAACTTTCCATCTGCCAAGAAACCACTGTTCCATCTGCCAAGCAACACTCCCTTCAGCAGTTCCTGTGGCTGGGTCTTCTCATCCTTTAAACTCGCATTTCACCTGTCACTTCCTCAAACCCAAGTGTCCGTTGACAGACACCTGGATGTTTTAAAATGTGGTATAAACATACAATGGAATATTATTCTGCCTTAAAAAGGAAGGGAATTCTGACGCATGCTACAACATGGATGAACATTGAGGACGTTATGCTAAGTGAAGGAAGCCAGTGACAAAAAGACAAATACTTTATAATTCCACTTATATGAGATACCTAAAGAAGTCAAATTCATAGAGAAAAAGAGTAAAATTGTGGTTTCAGGGTCTGGAAGGAAGGGGAAATGGGGAGTTAATGTTTATTGATTTACAGTTATTGATTTTCGGTTTGGGATGATGAAAAAGTTCTGGAAATGAATGGTGGCGATGGTTGCTCAATAATGTGAAGGTACTTAATGCCACTGAACTGTACGCTTAAAAATGGTTATAGTGATACATTTTATGTTATGTATACTTTGCAACAATAAAGAAAGTTTAATTATAGCAGAAAAATACAAATTACCATCTCAGAGAGGCTTTCCCTGGCCACCTAATTTAAAGAATTCACCCCACCCCAGTTCCTTATTTACTCTTTCTTTGTTCTATTTATTTCCTTCCTGTCATTCACCGCAATCTTGTACTTGTTTCTTGATAAGCTTCATAAAGACAGTGACCTTGTCTGTTTTGTTCGTTACTGCATCATTCTTACCTGTGCTTGGCGGACAGTAGGTGCTTAAGAAGTGTTTATTGAAGGAAAGATTGAAAATTCTATAAAATGCAAAGTGCAATAGATATGTCAAAATTGTTATTCATCGCACATGGCCTTTCTCTATCTGGAAGGATTCCATGTAGTGAGAATAGTTCAAGACCAAGGAAATCCAAATGCAGATCACCTTGTTGCTAAAGGCAGCAACAATTTGACTTGGAGTACCTTTTGAGATTGACTAATAAAAGGCTGAAGCTAAGCCAAGAAGTGGATTGATGAAGCTTCAACAGGTCATGTCTCCCTGAGGCTGCTTTTGGCTGCAAGAACAGAAACTTTAGCTCAGAGTGGTTTGGACAAGAAACAGTGTATTTTCTCACATTAAAAAAAAAAAAGCCTTGAGGTAGGGCTTCAGGGATTAGCTAACTCAGTGTCCTAGTAAGCCAGCAAGGCTCCAGTTTCTTTTCATTCTTCTGCTCTGCTCTCTTCCTCAAGTGAGCTTTATTCTTAGGTCAAGATGACTGCCTTAGTTCCATGTGTCACACCCGGACACAAAGACACACTATTTCTGCAGAAGAAGAGAAACTGTCTTTCCTTGTGTCTTTTTTCTGGGCAAGTGAAGGGATCTTTCACAGAAGCCTCACAGATTTCCCATGATGTGTCCTTGGCCAGAGATGCAAGCCATGGTCATGCCTAAATCAGTCACAGGCAAGGGGAATAGGACCACTATGATTGGCTTAGACTCGTATTGGCCTTTGGGATTGGGGATGTGCCCTCCCCAAAGGACATGGCAAGCTGAGGAGGGGAGATAAATTTTATCCTTGGATAAACTTTGGCCCCTTAGGAAGAAGGGAATACCTGTTGAAAAGGCAGACAGTAGCATCTATAGCAGGGTGAAATCGGGGGTTTGGATCCATGCCACAATATCCACCCTGCCATGGAAGCATGGATCATTCGAGGTGGGACTGACTGTGGAGAACTATAGCAGACCTCAGACCCCTGCTTTTTGCCCACCACTCACCTTAGCTTATCTTGCCTGGGGTCAGACTGGCTGCAAAGGGTGGAATAAAGTGATATATCCCTAGGAACTTGCTATTAAGCCATGAAAGGACAGGGAGGACACTTAAATGCATATTACTACGTAAAAGAAGCTAATCTGAAAAGGCTACATACTGCATGATTTCAACTCTATGACATTCTGGAAAAGGCAAATTGATCTGATTGATCAGCTTTCAAAAAGATCAGCAGTTGCCAGGGGTTGGAAGGCAGAGGAGGGAGTGGTGCAGAAGAGGCAGGAAATTCAGCAGGCCTTGGAGGCCGTGATGATGGGACATCATGGAGGGCTTTAAGCAGGAGCACGACATGACCTAACCTCTGCTGTCAAAGGATCACTCACACTGCTGTGAGGAGGATGTGCTATGGAGCGGGAAGGTGGGTGGCAGGAGTGGAGGCAGGCAGGGTTGAAAGACCACTGGAATCAACTAGCTCAGAGACAGCACGGGCTTGGTTTAGGGTTTCAGCTGTGGAGATGGAGAGAGGTATTTGGACGAAAGGCCCGCTTTGGAAATAGAGCCCAAAAGCCTTGCCAAACAGACTAAGTGTGCATGAAGGAGGAAAGAGGCAAATCAAGGATGACTTGTAGGTTTTTGGCCCAAGCAATGATGATGTCACTAACTGGGTGGGAAATATCGGGAAAAGGAAGGACCTATTTCAGTGAGGAGGGAAAAATCAAGGCTTATGTTTTGGACATGTGAAGTCATCTGGGTGGATCAGCCCTCTAAGTGGAGATGTGAGGAGGTGCTTTTGTGGAGTCTGGAACACAGAGCTGTAGATCCGAATCTGAGCAGTTTATGGATGGGTTTTAAATCTGGAGGAAATCACTTAGGGAGAGATTGCAAAAGGAGAGGTGAACTTACTAGCTGTGTGAGTTGAGCATGTTATTTAGCTTCTCAAAATGAGCTTGATTTTGAACTTGTCTACAGCGAGTTTTTTACTACCTGTCTTGCAAAGTTTTTATAAGAATTAAATTAGGTAATGTGTGTGAAAGAAACTAGCACAAGGCTCAGCTCATCGTAGAGTCTAAGGAAATATTTTTAAAAACTCTAGTATCCTCCATCTCATTTCTTTTGGAAATAAAAGTATTCGTATGAGCCATTAAAATCAGATCTACACAAAGTGAGTGTCCAGGATTTGACCTTTTTGTTCTCTGATTCATCAACTTTCAAAATATTATTCTGGGTCAGTTTTGTAGCATGTGCTCTGAGGGATGGATAAGGAAGGATTTATATCACATTTCCCTGCTAAGAGAGCCCACATTTCCTTAGATAGATGTGCAGGCAGGTGGGGTGGGGTGGGGTGGTGGTGGAATGGGGCAGGCATGGTAAAGGAAGTAAAAGGAGAAAAATAGTATATTAGGCAGCATATAATGGAACAGGGATGAAAAAGCTCAAGATTTCAAACCTTATTCCTCAGGACAATGGTGTCATTGGGCCAGAAATAGAAACATCGGAAGTGGGGTTCATTTTGGAAGAAGAGAGAAATGACATGAGCTCAGTTTTGGCCAGGCTGAGTGTGAGCTCCAGGCAGAGCTGCCTAGAGGAAAGGTCAGGCCCACAGCTAAAAATAAGGAGTTTATGTAGCTCAAGAGAGAGGCTGGACCAAGAGCTAGAGATCTAAGGATCCCCTGATGGAGGAGATGTTTGGAGTCTTGAGATTGGATGAGGTCACTGATGAAAAGTCCATGAAGATAGCCTTTTCTAAGATGGCTCTTTCATTGCTATTTCATATTTCATGTGGTTATTTATACTTGGCTTCCCTGTTTAATGGTAAATTTAGTTGCTCCTTCACTCTCTCAAAGGAGGCTTGATAAATTGCTTTGCCTCTCTTAGCTTCAATACCCTCGACTCTAAAATGGGACTACTAACACCTGCATAGGATTAAATGAGATTTTCTATTAGGGTGGTTAGCACAGTGAAGGGCACACAATAAGTACTCAATGAATATTAAATATTGTCTTGATTTTATTTATTTGATTCACCAGTAACTAAGCAGGCTCAGAGAAATGCATGGACATGGAGCACTTGGCCCCTGATATGAAGTGGGAAAATGAGCCTGTCCTTCCTGGGACCCAGCCTCAGGAATCCCATGTTGCAGGGTCTTCCCACTGCCCATGCTCCCTCACTGGGATTGGAGGCTGTCTCCGCACCTCCCACCTTCAGGAGACACCCAAGCTGAACCAGACCATTGTCACTTGCTCTTCACTAGTCTGTGCTCCCAGAGAGGGGGTTGAATAAAAGTTTAATTAGATTTCTCAGAGTTTCCTAATGCCAGCAAGAGAGCCCTCAGGGTGTCTGATGAGTCAGTAGCTTCGGGCTACTTCTGAATTATTTTTAGGGCCATAACAAGTCAGCTCCTAAGGCTTGAGTCTCTGGCTCAGCCATCACTGAACAGGCTTAGAGACAGGAGCACATGGTCCTTGACTTTCTGATTTCTCCCTCTCAGCAGCCAAGAATATCCTATGGGACGACTGGGCAGGGGTGTATAGGGCATGTGTTCTCTTAGAAACGCAGCTGCTCCTCCCCACCATTCCCCATCATCACCAATTTTTTTCCTAAGCGATTTTGAAACAACCACAAAAGGTTTAGAACTGGCTCAAATTCAGATCACATGGTGATGTGGCTCACAAAGGTCTCAGAAGCCAGCTGTGTTCTCATGTCCAAGAAGAAGACCAGGCTTGGCCATTGCTTGAAAAGTAGCAAGCATTCCCAGCCCCCAACCCTGGCTTGGAAACATGTACACATGTCTTTAGATAACTCAAAGAATAGCCCAAATTATTTTTTAAAAAAATTTAGTTTTGACGTAATTTTTCAATTTAGAGAGAATTTACAAGAATAGTAGAAAACATTTTACTCTAATGCCTCAAATGTTAACATTTTACTACATTTGTCTTATCCTTTTCCTTCTTACCATATATATTGATTGTTGATGTAATAACTGATAAGATTGCTGCAATGTTATTTTCCAGTCTATAGACTTTATTCAAATTTCATCAATTTTTTCTGATAATTTCCTTTATAGCAAAAAAAAAAAACACCCAGGACTACGTATTCAATTGTTGCATCTCTTTAGTCTCCTTTAATATGGAACTGTTCTTGAGTCTCTCTTCATATTCATGATGTTGACTTTTCTTCATAGTACCAGACAGTTATTTTGTAGAATGTCCCTTAATTGGGGTTTTTCCAATGTTTCCTTGTGATTGCATTTGGGTTGCATGCTTTCAGTGGCAATGCTGTAGGAGTGGTGTTGGGTTCCTCTCGGTGCAGCTTATCAGGAGGCACCTGCTGAACCCTTGTCTCATTACTAGTAATGTGAACTTTGATCCTTTGGTTAAGGTATGAGGACTAAGCTCTGATTTTTTATCTTGCCCAAGTTCCTCTCTAAGGGGTCTGGGGAGTCATGCCCTGCAAACCATGGATTCTCATCAGATGGGTTTTATTTGACCCTGTATATTGTGACTTGCTTTTCAATCTGACTCTGGCATAACATTATGAGACAAGGAAGAAAATATTTCACTCCAAAATATATCTTCTTGCCATGACTTGAAATTGCCCTGCAAAACCTCTTGTGGGAAAAATCCACATTCTATAGGGAATCCCTTCTCCCCTTTGTTTTCCTTCCTTTCCTTCCTGATCCAGGAGATAATCAACTAAGAGCCAGGCACCCTTTTAGGTCTGAAAAGAAACATTTTACAACCTGCTCTCTCTTTGAAGTCTGCTGAGAGATTCCTCTGCACTGTAAAACTTGGTTGCCACAATCCTTTGTCTTAACCTGAACATTCCTTTCCATTAATCCCAGGTCTTCAGATAAACTCAACCAATTGTCATCCAGAAAACGTTTAAATTTACCAATAGCCTGGAAGCCTCTGCTTTGAGTTGTCCCGCTTTTCTGAACCAAGCCAATGTATTTCTTAAATGTATTTGATTGATGTCTCAGGCCTCCCTAAAGTATATAAAACCAAACTGTACCCTGACCACCTTGGGCACATGTTCTCAGGACCCCCTGAGGGCTGTGTCACAGGCCATGGTCACTCATATTTGGCTCAGAATAAATCTCTTCAAATATTTTACAGAGTTCGACTCTTTTCGTTGACAGGTAACATCAGCCAAGTTTCTCCATGGTAATATTACTTTCTAAAATAATAATGTTATTTTACTTTGTAAAGTTACTTTGTAATTAATAAGCATCTTGTGGGAAGGTACTTTGAGATTACAAATATGTTCCTTCAAATTTTACTCACTAGCTTTAGCATCCATTGATGGTTCTGGCCTGAATCTATAATAATGACGATGGTTGTCAAATGCTGGGTTTTGTTTTTCAATATTATTCCTTTTACATGTATTTGTTGACTTTCTACTGTAAGGAAATCTATCTTGTTTATTCATTTATTTATTTACTAATTTATTCCCTCATATTTAAAAAACAAAACTGTCAGCATAAAATTAATCCTGGTGTGAGCATTTTTCCTTGATCCCTCAGCGAGAGTAAACTTGTCTAGGCCTGTCTGGTGAGCTGGTCAGCTGGTTAGAGGAGTCATTTTGCAAGACGTGAATTGCACTGGAGCCCTGAGTGTGGCTGAGGGGAATTTGTGTTGGGTTTCTGGACCAGGGGCAGGGTTGAGACAGCAGCAGGTGAAGGCTGAAGACACTGTCTGGCATGAAAGACTAGGAGTCTAAGAATATGATCAGCAGGTATGTGTGTCCCTGTGACAAAGTAGGACTCACTGTGGGGGACAGCAATGTTCATTATACGTATTCTGGAAACACAGCACCCTGTACTGTAGAACACCTGAAACCAGTAGCAGTGGCAGTGCAGGGGAACAGGGGCATTGGGGGCTCACTCCAGCCATGCCAGCCACTCTTACTTTCAGGAGGATGGGAGTAGGAGAGAGGCAGAACATGGCCCACATGTCAATCATGATGGCTGCACTCACTATCCAGTTCATGAACATGGGGGCCTCCTCTGTGTACTTCCAGGGGCAACCTTGCAGGGGCCTAAGAGCTTATGTAAGCAGGCTGAGACCAAAGCCAATTAAAGTTGAGGGGTATTTCATGCTAGAGGCTGGAGACACCATGGGATATGAATTCTGATCCATACTGTGTTTTAGTCTGGCAAACAGTCCTTGAAATTTTTAACTAATCAAAATAGAGGCAGGGCTTGGATTTGATCCAGAGCATGGTGCCAAGTTGATAAGCGGCTCCATCTGCCAGCCTCCCATGCTTTTCAACACAATTTGGTTGTGTCCTGCTCATTCATGGGTCCTTCCTTGGGTTTTGCATGGCACAGCAACAATCCTTCTCCTGCAGTGTACTACACATACCCCAAAGGAACCAACTCTGAGCTAAGCACTTGTGTAGAATGGCAAATGCATAATAAGACTTGTGTCAAAGAAAATACCCAAGGAAGAGAGCATGAGGCTATGTGGTTGCATGAGAAAAGCAGCTTCACCAAATCTACCAATTAGCTCCCCAGGGAATTATTTAATCCCATCTTTCATTTAATTGAAGACCAGAACATTATTATCTCTGGCATGTGAAGAAGGTATCCTAAAGAAAATTTACAATAGTATTAATTTATCGTTGATTCAAAGATAACTTGAGCTTCCTAAATTACAGTTCCGTTGTATTTGGGTATCACATCAAATCAAGCCCAGTGCACCTGTCTTTAAGAATGAAGAGATATGACGTTAGGAAGCCTTAATTTGAAACGCTGGGTGCATTTTTCATTGTTTTCACTTTAGCCATTTTTGCCTGGAAGTTGCTGGTGGTACAGTGTTTTATACAATACAGTCTTTACATCAAGTTTTAGAAAACATGCCAAGATTTACAAAGCAGGATAGCCATGCTCTCAAATGTTACTTCTGAAGTTATTTTCTTGACACTTTGAGATAAGCTAAAACTTCACTCCTGTAGCGGGGCTAGATGGTGTCCCAGTATCTCAGACACCTGTCTGGCCACGTAGAGTGTACCAGAGGTAGTTCCCTCTTTACAGGTCAGGGATGGGCACAATGAGCTCATCTGTTGCCCTTGGAAGCTGCATGTGTGAGGGCCTCCCACGCCCCCTCATGCAGAAGTCATCCCACCTGGATTGGGGAGTCACGTGGAGCTCACCAAATAGCTGTCAGAGAGCCCTGACCTGGCCAGCAGGGCCCTTCTCACAGAGCTGTAACATTTCAATTTCAGTAAATTTTACTGGCAGCCAGCGCGGGAGCAGATGCTCTGGGATGAGAGTTCAGGAAGAACAAATAGTACCTGCCGTCAAAGGATGGATAACCTACTCGGGATTCAACCAATATTTATTGAGGAAAACATGGTAGTGAATGAACAGAGCCTGGGACTAGAATCACTGGGTTTGTGTTGGGCTCTGAAATCCTGTCACTTAGGGCAGTCTGCTTGACCTCTTGGCACTTCTGTGTCTTCCTTGTAACTGGAAAACAGCAGTTCTTACCTTGTAGTTTCTTGTGAAGATTAGCGAGAGAAGGAAGACACAGTGCCGGCATGGTGTTTAGAGCAAAGTAAACAGAGCTCAGTAAACAGTAGCTGCTTTAAGTGTCTCCTGAGTACTGGACGCTTTCATCTACGTGACGTTCCATCAACCCTATGATTAGGCCCCATTTACAGAGGTGGCATCTCAAGGCCAGAGAGCCGAGGGGCTTGCTGGTAGTTGGTGGTTCATGAGCAGTACAGCTGCGCTGGACTCTGGCCCTTCTGGCTCCAGGCTCAATGCTCTCCTCATCCCGACAGAATTGGCCCTTGTGGTGTCAAGATCATCGATTGAGAAGAAATATTCCAGCATCTTCGAAGCAAACACAGCACTAATAACAATGATCTCTTACCTTTATATAACCCCTTTAATTTTCCTGAGCACCTTCACATCTATTATCTTCGATCCCGTCTGTTCCAAAGCGTATTCTTTTTTGTTCAATAATTTTGCAAAAATTATTTCTACCAGGACTTTTTCTGCTGCAAAGCTCTGGATGCACTAAAGCGTGGCAGGATTAATGTTCTGGATGGTGTCTTCTTCAGCCTGGGCAGGGAGTAGGATGCCTTTCCTTCTGGGCTGATGAGGAGCTGTTTCTATTTTGGGCTTTGGGTGGCTGTCCTACCCAGCGCACCTCGCTGGAAGCTCCTTTCTTGCTTTATTTCGTGAACTACAGGAGCATTTCCTACTTTCCACACTACTTAAACTCATGTTGAGGTGAAGCAGAAGTCACGTTGGTAGGATGCTTGGACCAATTGCTCATTCCTATGTCCCTCATGTGTGTGTCTGTGCACCTGTGTGTATATTGGTTGTGCTCTCCAGTTGCCCTGTCTAATGAGGGAAGCTCAGTGAGCACTGATCACTAAAGTCTTGCTGATCTTGTTTCTTAGGGCTCCCTTCCAAGAGCCCAAATGTTGACCCTCCTCATGTTCCCTCTTTATCTCCTTTGCTTTGGGCTGCTTGCATTAATGTAGATTATCTCAAATGGGTTCATTATATTTCTTCTCTTTGAGCAAGGTTATTTTTCAAACACTAAGCACAAATAATTATTCAAGAAACACTTTGAAGAAACATTTGAGGAAAACGCTGCAATCCAAAATCTATTTTGGAAGCTTTTAGAAAAAAAAGAAAGAAAGAAAGAAAGAAAGAAAAAAAAAACAGGAAATCTGATGGGGGTTGGGGGAAGCAGGCGCTACATTCTTTTCATGATAAATGCCTGTGCCCCCAGTGGGCAGGGGTGAGGGTGGGCGCAGGAGGCTGCCTAACTAGTCCCTAATGGACTGAGAAGGTATTCCACAGCCTCTCAGCTCCAAACCAAAATGCCCTAGACTCAAGCAGCTCTTACCATTAAGATAAGAATGAAAGGTCACTTGTGCTCGTTCTCAGATTTGCAGGAAGGAGAGTAAAGTCAGCAGTTGACTTAACATCTCTAGAGGCCTCTGCCCCTCCCCATGCTGAATTTACCATCTGGCATTGGTGCATGTGACCTTGGCAGGAGTTTCAATGACAAGACAATATCAGTGCATGCTGAACAAGCCACCTCTGGGGAGTGGAGTGTTCCCAAAGTGTCTTTGGAGGAAATACATTTAAATGTAAAGTCATCTGCTGAGTTACTCTCTATTTGTTACCTCTGTTTTCTACTCACAAGTCACTAGATTTTTTTTTTTTTTTTGACAGGGTTTCATTCTGTTGCCCAGGTTGGAAAGTAGTGGCGCAATCACATCTCACTGCAGCCTCAACCTCCCTGGCTCAGGTGATCCTCCCAACTCAGCCTCCTCAGTAGCCCAGAATACAGGCACACACCAACACGCCCAGCTGATTTTTGTATTTTTTGTAGAGATGAGGTTTCACTGTGTTGTCCAAGCTGGTCTCAAATTCCTGAGCTCAAGTGATCCACCCACCTTGGCTTCCCAAAACTCTGGGATTATAGGTGTGAGCCACCGTTCATGGCTACAAGTCACTAGATTCTTAACGGAGAGGACCACGAGGAATAATAAAACTGATAACAACAATAGCTGCCATTTTTCAGAACTTTCTGAGCCAGATGTTTCACATATGTTTTCTTCTTCACTTCACACCAATCTGGTGAGCTGAGCAGCATTAGTATGTTCATTTTCTAGCTGAAAAACTGAGTCTCCCAGTGGTGATGTCCTTTGTGAAAGGCCAGTCAATTGGTAAACAGCAGAGCTAATATTTAAACCAAACACTGCTTGACTCCAAATTCCATACTTACCTCAATACTGCACACCACATTCCTGTGCCACTTCTGTCCATTAGTCCCTCATCGAAGGGTAACCACTAACCTGATTTCCATGCAGAGATTAGTTATGCCTGTTTGTGTTTTATGTAAATGAACTCATATAGTGGGTGATGTTTTGTGGCTGGCATCTTTCACTCAACATGAAATTTGTGAGATTCACCCACATGAATGAATATGGTTGTAGACCATGCGCTTTGCTGTATAGAATTTCAATGTGTGACTATGTCTCAATTTATTTATCCATTCTACCATTGATGGACATTGAATGGTTTCCAGTTCTTGGCTATCACAAAAAGTGCTTTTATGAATATAACATATAAACTTTTAAGATTGTGGATAAAATCACATCATCTATGTAGAAATCATATCATCTGTGAATGAGAGTTTTAAGGGTTTTTTCTCCTTTCCAAACCTTATACCTTTTATTTCCTCCCTCCCTCCCTCCCTCTTTCTCCCTCCCTCCCTCCCTTCCTTCCTTCCTTCCTTTCTTCTTTTCTCTTTTTTTTTTTTTTTTCCTGACAGAGTCTTGCTCTCTCGCCCAGGCTGGAGTGCCGTGGTGGAATCTCAGCTTACTGCAACCTCCGTATCCCAGGTTCAAGTGATTCTCCTGCCTCAGCCTCCCGAATAGCTGGGACTACAGGTGCATGCCAACAAGCACGGCTACTTTTTTTGTATTTTTAGTAAAGAGGGGGTTTCACCTTTTTGGCCAGTCTAGTCTCAAAGCCCTAGCCTCAAGTGATCCACCCACCTGAGCCTCCCAAACTGCTGGGATCCCAGGAGTGGGCTACCGCACCCAGCCTCCTGTCTTTTTTCGTCCTGATTTTAAAAGCCTTCTCTGTTTTATGCTTAAAAATAATATTTACTGTAGGTTTTTGGTAGACTCCCTTTATCAGATTAAGGAAATCTGTTTTTAATCTGAGCTAGTTAATTAAAAATAAATAAATAGTATTTTGAATTTCATCAGATGTGTTTTCTCCATCTACTGAAAAACAATATTGTTTCATTCTTTTAATATGCTAATGTGGTGAATGATAATTATGGATTTCCTAAAGTTAAGCATTATATTCTTGGAAAAATCCCAGCTTAGTCCTGATGTACAGTATTATCTTTTCCCATAAACTACACGATTCATTTTGCTGATATTTGTGTAGGATTATTGCCTGTATATTCATGAATGAGGTTTTCCTATCACTTTATTGGATTTTTTGAGTTTTAGTATCAAAGTACAGTGCACTCATATAAATAGTTGGGGACTATCCTTTTTCTTTTTTTTAACCTTTTTTTTCGGGGTGGGGGGCAGGTTCTGGCTCTGTCGCCCAGGCTGGAATGCAGTGGGAGCAATCTCAGCTCATTGCAACCTCTGCCGCCTGGGCTCAAGCAATCCTCCCACCTCAGCCTTCTGAGTAGCTAAGATTACAGGTGCCTGCCATTACGCCTGGCTAATTTTTGTATTTTTTGTAGAGACGGAGTCTCACTATGTTGCCCAGGCTGGTCTCAAATTCCTGAGCTCAAGCAATCCACTTGTCTTGGCCTCCCAAAGTGCTAGGATTACAGGCGTGAGCCACTGTATTCTCAAAGAGTTTGCATAAGATTAGATGATATACTCTGTGAATGGTTGGTAGAACTTACCTGTAAAATCATCTGTGCCCAGTGATTCTCTTTGTGGGAAAATTAGACAATTGATTCACTTGTTTTAATGGTTATGAGCTATTTGGACTTCGTAATTTTTTTTTGAGTTGGTTATTTTTAAAAGAATGTGTGTTTCTTCTAAGCTTCTGCTTCTTTATGCATTCTTTGGCATATAGTTTTTAATAGTACACTATTATCTTTATAGTCTCTGCTGGATCTCTCTGTATATCCCTCTTTTTATTTTTAATATTGCAAATCTCTTTTTTTCATTTTCTTTTTTCTTCTTTTCTCTTTCTTTCTTTCTTTTCTTCTTCTTCTTCTTTTTTTTTTTTTTTTTTTTTTTTTTTTTTTTTTTTTTTTACAAGGCCTCACTCTGTCACCCAGGCTACAATGCAGTGGTGCAAACATGGCTCACTGCAGCCTCGACCTCTCAGGCTCAAACCATCCTCCTGCCTCAGCCTCTTGAGTAGCTGAGATTACAGCCATGAGCCACCACACCCAGCTAATTTAAAACAAAAAATTTTTTTTCAACTTTAAGTGCAAGGGTGCATGTGCAAAATGTGCAGGTTTGTTGCATAGGTAAACATGTACCCAAACTGGGTTTGAACTCCTGGGCTCAAGCAATCTGCCCACCTCAGCCTCCCAAAGTGCTGAGATTATAGGCGTAAGCCACCATGCCCAGCTACAAGCTACTAGATTCTTAATAGAGAGGACCATGAAGAATAATATTGATAATACTGATAAAAACCATAGCTGTCTAACAATCCTGTTAGAAGTTTAGTCATTTTATTTTTGTTTCCAAAGAACCAATTTTTGGTTTTGTTAATCAACTCTGTCACATCTTTGCTTTCTATTTTATGAATGCCTGTATTTATAGTTATCTTTCTTTTACTTTCTTGTATGTATTCTGTTGTTCCTTTTCTGATTTCTTAAGTTGGTTGCTTAGCTCATTAATTTTTAGCTTTTCTTCTCTCATGTTAATAAGCATTTGAGTCTCTATATTTCTCTTGTATTACCTTTTTCACTTCATGCCATAAGCCTTGGTATATGGTATTTTTATTATTGTCCAGTTCTAAATACTTTAAAATTTCTGTTAATGATGCTTTAATCCACAGAGTATTTTAAAATGAGATTTTAAAATTCTAAGCATATGTTTTTGAGTTCTAATTTAACTGCATTGTGATTAGAAAACTTGGTCCATAGGCTATTGAATATTTGAAAATCTTGATACTTCTCTTATGGCCTATCCCATGGTCAATTTTTGTCAATTTTTCATTGTTATATGGACTTTACATGTGTCCAATAAACCAAACTTGCCGATTTTTTATATTTTGACTTTTTTGTTTATCAATAAATAAAAGAGGTATCTTTGAACATGTCTCACTCTGATGATGAGTTTAACTCCTCTTTGTGTTCTATTGATTTTGCTTTACATATATGTAAGATTTTCTAGAATTGCTTCATCTTCCAGATCAATCATTTTGTTATTATACAGTGGTCCTGTCTGTCTATATAATGCCTTCTCTATTAAAGTCTGTATTCCCTGACAGCAGAAAGCTTTCTTTTGGTTAATATTTGTTTAATGTATCTGTCACTTCCAACATTTCCTTCTCCTTATGTTTAAATGTGTCCCTTGTGAATAGCATAACTGAATTTTAAAAATATCTAGTGTGACAATATTGATCTATTGTGTGATGAATTTAGTCTTTTTCATTCACTGTGGTGACTGATGCATCTGTATTCCTCTGTACTATTTGTTACTTTTTGCATCTTATTTATTCCATTTTTACTATGCCTATTTTCCTCTTCTTGAATGTTAACACTTTGAATTTTGGTTGCTTTCTTATTCCATTTTTTCTTCTACTTGTCTGGAAGTTATGCCATATTCTATTTCTGTTCTTTTGCGGTTTCCCTTGAAATTTTACCATGCAAATCTACTAAACTCTAACATTAGAATCTCAACCCTCCTATCAAACCACGTAATAATTTCTTTTTCTTTTTTTATTTCAACAGCTTTAGGGGTACAAGAGGTTTTTGGTTACATGGATGAATTGTATAGTACTGAAGTCTGGGCTTTTAGTGTGCCTGTCACTCAAATGTTGTACATTGTATTCAATGAGTAATTTTATTTTATCTCTCATGCCTCACCCACCCTCCTCACTTTTGAGTCTCCTGTGTCCATTCTGTATGCCTCTGCATACCCATAGCTCAGCTCCCATTATAAGTGAGTAGAGGCCACTCAAATTTATTTCTTCTCCCAACTTTCATTCTATTGTCTTTTTGTATTTTGATTTTGTCCTTTAAACATTTTTATTTCCATAAATTAGATGTGGAAATTAGATGTCATTTTTATAGATGATGTTTGTTAACATTTACTTATTTATTTATTTTGCAAGATCATTTTTCTTCTTTCCAGAGTGCATTTTATAAATGTTTCTTTGGCTTCGGTCTGCTAGTAGTAAATTCTGTTTCTGTTTCTCTGAAAATGTTTTCATTTTACTCTTATGAGTTAAGATATTTTTGCTGGGTGGACAATTCTAGGATGACTGTTATTTTCTCTTGGCACTTAGAAGGTATTATTTCACTGTCTCTTGGCTTTGGTTTTTGCTGTTGAGAAAGTTGCTGCCAGTCTAATTGTCATTCCTTTGTAGGTGATGCATTTTCTTTTTAAAATGCCTTTAAGAGATTCTGTTTGTTTTTGGTGTTCAGCATGTTACTTTCAATATGCCTACAGTTGGATTTACTGTCTTTGTATTTTCTGGAGACTGTCATGGGATGCTTACTGCGTCAATGTACTCATTTTTCATTGTTCTAGAAAGAAATCTTTAATTTGTTCTCTCTCCCATTTTCTCTATTCCTTCCTCCTGGACCCTGATTTGCTATTGAAACTTCTTGTTTTATCTTCTGCATCTCTTAACGTCTCTTTCACATTTTATATATTGTTTCTCTGTGTTGTATTCTGGGAAATCTCTATGGACCTATCTTCAAGTTCTCTAATTCTCTCCTCAGCTATGTTTAGTATGCTATTTACTGCCACCCTTTGCGGTTTTTGAAATAGCAAAAAACTATATTTTTTATTTCGAAAAGTTGCATTTCTTTTTCAAATATGACTAGTCGTATATGCCATTCCCTTCTGCTTGCCCGTTTTTGTGATGATATTTTTTCTTAAACATTTTATATGTGGTTTTTCTCTCCTCTGATTCTGATAATTCTAATATTTAAAGTCTGTATGGGTTTTAATATTTTTATTTCTATTGATTATCACTCATTATGATTTGTTTATTTGTGTGAATGATCTTTGTGAACTCATATTGGACTCATCTTAATCTGTGAAAAACTTGAGAGCTTAAATTGAGGATGCCTGCTCAAGAGTGGATTTGTGTTTGCTTCTGCCAGGAACCAGGGACACAATTACCCTGGACCAATGTCATCTCCTTTCAGGGTCTCTGGTCTAAACTGGGAATCTCAGAGTCAGCTTATCCTTATTGCTATATTGTTGTTTGTCCTCAGAGGAATTCTGCCTTTATGCATACAGACTCTCTCTCTCTCTCTCTCAATGTGTGTGTGTGTTTGTGTGCATGAAGTCCCTGTGGAGGTTTCCCTTACTTCCAAAATCCCAGCAATGCAAATAAATTGTATTTTAGGAAGCAGATAGCTGTTTGAAAGCAGGAGGGCCCTCAAGACAGCGAATCCCCCACACTGTGGGAAGTAGAGGTTTGGGCCTGTTTTTTGCATTAAATGGAGAGGGAGTATGAAAATCCAAGGAAACATGGAAACATTTCATTGCCATTAAAGCTACCCCAAATAAATGTTGGTTACTGTTTGTGGCACATACTTTCCTACATCTCATCTTATGATTGTTCTCAGGCTCTCTTGTGTGTACAAAGCTGTCCAATAACACCCTTGCCAATTCTACCCCATTCTGGTAACAGCCCCCATGGCCCAATTTGCACACTAGATCAAGTATAATGCTATATGCTCTAATACTATAATGGACACAGGTCCAAGGGAAGGGCTTGTGACCAAAGCTGGCCCCATCCAAGTCTTCTTCTGGAATTCTCCATATCAGAGGCAAAGAAGTCTCTCTTCTTGCATTGCAAATGGGATGCACATAAGCCTGAGGCTTTTGGTGGCCATCTTCCATGCCACATGGAAGTGTCCATCTTTAGCCTTGATTAACACATGGGTCTATTTCTGAGCTGAGGCTGTAAGGAAGATATTTTAAAAATGATTATAAAGAAGGAGGGCTTGTCACTGACAGCACATACATTCAGAGGGCTACAGGAGGACTCCCTCACTGTGCCACAACTGGGACCTAACCCTTCTGCCCCTTTGCCACTTTCAAGTCAGTAAAAGAGACATGACTTGTAGCAAGTGCCATCACCCACACAATACAAGTGACAATTAGGCCAATGCAGAAAATAAGACTTAGAACCTTTTGGAGTGGCTCCCCATTTTTTGAGAATTAGCTCACTTCTACTTAAACCACAAAATATAAACTTGCCAGCGAATCTGACTTCCTCGTTCCTTTGAGTTAGAACATCTGCAACATCAAAATGAAACAATAACTCCTTCTGAAGCACAGGAAAATTAGCTGGAAATAGTACTATTCTGGTTTCAAGTGCTATTAGAAGGGAAATGGGTCTAGTTATAACTAGACATAGAACTGGAAAATACCCAGAACTTTCTGACTTCTGAAAAAGACAAAATCAATTGGCAAGTGTTTGATGTCTCAAAAATAATTTTTTAAAGCTTATTATTGAAAGACTCTTGGATTATGTAAGATATACAAAAAGGAGAAGAATGCAGCTCCAGATAATTTTAATGACATTCCAGACCTAGGAAGGATTAATGCCTGAGAACACCCAATTGGGTCAGCATTTCCCCCCCAACCAATGCGGAATTGCTGCTATAGGATTAGGATGGAGGGAGAACATTAACAAAGGCTGTTCCAATGTAGAATTAATTCAGTTATGCAGTTGGGGGAGAAACACTTACATCCCCTAAAGTCACAAGTAACTTTTTTTTTTTTTTGAGACAGAGTCTTGCTCTGTCACCCAGGCTGGAGGGCAGTGGCGTGATCTCGGCTCACTGCAACCTCCGCCTCCCAGGTTCAAGCAATTCTACTGCCTCAGCCTCCTGAGTAGCTGGGATTACAGGCATGTACCACCACGCCCGGCTAATTCAAGTAATTTCTTTAAAACTTCTGAGGTCTATAAGTTTAAATGCAACTAAGCCAACAGTCAGTCTTTAAATTTCTACCATAAAAGACATGTATATTTTAATATTTGACAAGAGTTAGGTTAATTTGCCATTCATTCCTCCCAAATTCTGAGTGCACTTGCAATTCAGATTTTTTTAAATAAAAATTTGTGTCCGGCACTAGACTCAAGAAAAAATTACATAATAAAAACCAACATGGAGTTCTTATCATGTGTTAGGCACTGTTCTAAATTCCTTACATGTATTAATTTGTTTAATCATCACAACCCTATGAGTTATATACAGTACTTTATTCCCTTTAGTTGGATAAAGAAACTGATGCATGGATGGGTTAAGAATCTTGTCCAAAGTGACTGATTAGTTAAGGAATGAATCTTGGATTTTAACATGAGCAGTGTGGCTTCAGAGCTTGTGTTCTAACCATTGTGTCCTACTTCCTTTTAATTGTTAAAAGGCCACATAATGTAAGAAGACTGCATTGGGAGTCAGAAAAACCTGGGGCTCAAATTCCAGCTCTATCAGAATTTACTAGCAGCAGCATATCAGAAATCTTGCTCAACCTCACTGCTAAGCCTTAGTTTCTTATCTGTGAAATACTGTAATATGTACACCACAGAGATGTTATGAAATTAAAGGAGACAAATGAATATAAAAGAGCCTAGTATGTGTCAAGTGCCTGGCATATAGTAGGCCTTTGATAAGATTTGGCAATAGCCAAAGAGGGTAGGATGTTTTGATCTTGTAGCTTTGATCTGATATGTACTTAAATACAAATGTTTAAGTCAGAAAACCAAGGCTAATACATTTTCATTGAGCATTGAGAGAGTATTTTCCAACCACAAATCCCTTTAAGCCAATTCAATTCTGTGATCAGTTTTTAATGGTATAGTCTCTGCTTCCAATTTTTTAATTTTTGTTTTCAGTTTACAAAAACTTCTTTGTGTTAAGATCAATTGCATTTCTTTATTAGCGTTTTTGGCGATATCAAATGTGACCAATTATAGCCTCTGTCATTGTGGGCTTTCCTTTGTGGCAATTATTTCTTCCAAGTTCAACTTTCCTAGGTTGAATTCTGCATATGAAAGTGTTATAAAAACTTTGGTTCCATCATTCAAATTTAGTGTATCACAAATGTTACTATTTGCAGTTTTAGCCATCATTGAGTTTACTTTGTGTTAATAAATTTCTACCAAACCTAGTTTTTCTGGTGTCAACTTTTGAGGTTGTTATTGTTGACAACAAAATGTTATTTCTTTCTGCCATTTTCCCCTAGCAATATACAATGTGCAGTTTTAGTAATGTCAGTTTTATTTTGTTTTCATAAACTTTTTATTTTGAGATAATTATGGTTTCACATGCAGTTTTAGGAAATAATACAGAGAGATCCTGCATGCCTGTTACCTGGTTTCTCCCAGTGATAACATCTTGTAAACTACAATACAATATCACATCTAGGATATTGACATTGATAAAGTCAAGATACAAAACATTTCCATCACCAGAAGGATCCCTCATATTTAGATTTTATAACCACACCCACTTTCCTCCATTTCCACCCATTTACAGTCCCTGAAAGCCACTAATCTGTTCTCTGCAATTTTGTTATTTCAATAATGCTATATAATTAGAATCACACATTACGTAACTTTTTGGGATTGGCTTTTTTTTTTTTCTCAGCATAATTCATCTAAGCTATTGGATGAATCAGTATTTGGGGCCAGGTGGGGTGGCTCACGCCTGTAATCCCAGCACTCTGGGAGGCCGAGGTGGGTGGATCACCTGACGTCAAGAGTTTGAGACCAGCCTGGCAAACATGGCAAAACCCCATCTCTACTAAAAATACAAAAATTAGCTGGGCGTGGTGGTGGGCGCCTGTAATCCCAGCTACTTGGGAGGCTGAGGCAGGAGAATTGCTTGAACCCGGGAGGCAGAGGTTGCAGTGAGCCGAGATCGCACCATTGCACTCCAGCCTAGAGTGAAACTCTGTCTAAAAAAAAAAAAAAGTGGCTTTCTTTTTATTGCTGAGTGGTATTCCATGGTCTGGATGTACTACAGTTTGTTTAACCTTCAGCAATTGAAGGACATCTAGGTTAACCCTGTTTTTGGCTATTACAAATAAAGCTGTTATATTCACATACAGGTTTTCGTGAGACTGTAAGTCTTAATTTCTCAGGGATAAATGCTCACGAGTCCTATCACTGGGTTGTACAGTAGTTACGTCTTTAGTTTTTGAAGAAACTGCCACACTGTTTCCCAGAGTGGCTGTACCACTTTACATTCCCACTAGCAACATATGAGTGATCCAGTTTCTCTGCGTTCCTGTCAGCAATTGGTGTTGTCACTATTTCTTATTTTAGCCATTCTGACAGGTGAATAGTGATATCTCACTGTGGTTTTAATTTGCATTTTCCCACTCTGCAGCTTGTCATTTTATTCTTAAGAGTCTTTCATGGAGTAAACATTTATGATTCTGATAAATTCCAATTTATCAGGTTTTTTTAATCGATTGAACTTTCCGTGTCAAGTTTAAGAACTTTTTGCCTAACCCTGGATCCTAAAGATGTTCTCATATTTTTTTCTAAAAGTTTTGTAGTACTACAATTTACATTTAAGTCCATGATCCATTTTGAGTTAATTTTTATATAAGATGTGTGACTTCCCCCGTGCTTCCCCCCACCTCGGAGATATCCTCTTGTTCCAGCATCATTTGTTGAACAGGTTATCTTTCTCCATCAAATTGCTTTTGCGTCTTTGTTGAAAATTAATCAGACATATTTATATGGGTCTATTTCTGTTTTCTCTTTTATGTTCCTCTGATGTATGTGTCCCTTTACCAATACCACACAGTCTTGATTATGGTAGCTATAGAAAAAGTCATAAAATTCCTCCCACTTTTCTTTTTCAAAATTGTTTTAACTATTCTAGTTCCTTTGCTTTTCCAGATATATTTTAGAATTATCTTTCTGTATTTATAAAAATCTGGCTGGGATTTTGACAGAAATTGCAATTAATCAGTATGTTAGTTTGGGGGGAATTGACATGTTTATTATGTTGAGTCTTCTGATCTACGAAGAGTATGTTTCTCCATTTATTGAGGTCTTTTATTTCTTTCATCAGCATTTTATAGTTTTTAGCAGACAAGTCTTATACATTTTTTTTAGGTTTACATCTAGATATTCCTTTTTTTTAGTGATTGTCAATGGTATTGTATTTTAAAATTTTGGCAACACATATTCATTGATAATATATAGAAATACTATTGATTTTTTTAAATGTTGATCTTGTATCTTTCTACCTTGCTGAACTCATTCACTCTAGAAGATGCCTTAAAATTTTCTACATAAGCCATCCTATTATTTGCAAATAGGGGTAGTTTTATTTCTTTCTTTTTAATATGTATGGGTTTTATTTCCTTTTCTTGCCTTCCAGGCCTATGTTGAACAAGAGTGGTAAGTATCGACATCCTTGCCTTGTTTATAATTTTGGGGGGAAAGCATTCAGGCTTTCACTATTAGGTACGATGTTTGCTGTAGGTTTTTGTTTTGTTTTCTTTCATTTTTTTTCTTTTGTAGATACTGTTTATCAAGCTGAGAAAGTTTCCTTCTATTCTTACTTTTCTGAAAGTATTATCCATGAATGGGTGCTGAATTTTGTCATATGCTTTTTCTGCATCAATTGATATGTTCATGTGATTTTTCTTTTTTAGCTTGTTAATATCGTGGCTTATTAATATGATGATTGATTTTAGAATATTGAATTTGGAATCTAAATTGAATTCTTGGAATAAACTCCACTTGATTGTGGCATATAATTCTTTTCATATATTGTTGAATGCAATTTGCTAAGTTTTACTAGAGATTTTATGTTTATATTCATGAAGGACATTAATTTGTAGTTTTTGTTTATTTCATCCATTCTCTTTGCCTGGCTTGGAATTAGGGTAATACTAGCTTCCCGAAATGAACTGGAAAGTGCTCTTGGGCTAGAGATTTTTGGGGGGAGTTTTTAAATTGTGAATTTAATTTTATTAGTAGTTATGGGGATATTCAATGATCTATTTCATATTGGGTGAGTTGTGTTAATTTGTGTTTGGTCCATTCACATAAGTTGTCAAATTTATGTGTGTAAAGTTGTTCATGGTATTTCCTTATTATCCTTTTGATGTCTGCAGGGTCTGTAATGATATACCCATTTCACTCATTGTATTGGTAATTTGTGTCATCCTTTTTTTCTTTGTCAGTTTTTCTAGAGGGTTGTCAATTTTATTCAACTTTTCAAAGAACCAGATCTTTGTTTCACCCATTTTCTCTATTGTTTTTTATTTTTGCTTTGTTTTCTGCTCTTTATTATTTTCTTTCTTCTGCTTGCCTTGGGTTTATTTTGCTCTTTTTCAAGGTTCTTGAGTGGAAGCCTAGATAATTGTTTTGAGACCTTCCCTCTTTTCTAAAGTATGCACTTAACGCTATAAATTTCCCTCTCAACACTGCTTTAGCTGTGTCTCATGAATTTGACAAGTTTTATTTTTCATTCAGTTCAATGTGAATTTTTTATTTCCCTTGAGACTTCCAGTTTGATTTGTGGATTATTTAGAAGTGTTAAATTTCCAAGCACTAGATGTTTTCTTATTTTGTTATTGATTTATAATTTTGATTCTATTGTGATTGGAGAACACATTTTGTATGATTTCAGTTTTTAAAAATGTGTTGAGCTTGTTTCATGGCCCAGAATATGTTCTATCTTTGTATATGCTCCATGGCCTGGAAAAAAAATGCATATTCTCCTGTTGTTTGAGTCTTCTAGAAATGTTGATTAGATCTTGTTAGTTGATAGTGTTTTTGTATTCTTCTGCATCCTTGCTGATTTTCTGCTTATTGAAATCTTCAACTATAACTGTGGATTTATCTATTTGTCTTTCCAGTTCTATTAGTTTTTTTTTTCTTTTATTGGTTTAATTTTTTTTGAGATGGGGTCTCACTCTGCCACCCAGGCTGGATTGCAGTGGCATGATCTTGCCTCATTGCAACCTCTGCCTCTCAGACTCAAGTGATCCTCCCACCTCAGCTTCCTGAGTAGCTGGGACCACACGCATATGCCACCACGCCCAGCTACAGTTCTATTAGTTTTTGCTTCACACGCTTTGTAGCTCTGTTGTTTGATACATGTTTAGAATTGCTATGTCTTCTTGGTGGATTGACTGTATTGTAAATTTATAATGTTCCTCTCTGTTTCTGGTAGTTTTCTTTGCTCTGAAGTATACTTTATTTAATTTTAATATAATCAGTATTTTGCAAATATTCTCTCAGTTTATGGCTTATTTTCTCACTCTCTTGATCAATAATTTCTTTGTCTTTAGTTTTAGAAGTTTATGTTGTATCTTATGGATTTCTATGGGTTTACCCTTTTAGAGTTTAATACTTTATCACATTTGAAAAGTTTTCAGCCATTGTTTCCTTGAGTACTTTTTCAGCCCTCTCCTTATTGTACCTTTCTCCTGGATTCCCATACCATGAATGTTAGATCTTTTGTTATAGTCACATAGGCCCATAAGACTCTACTCATTTTGTTCCCCAATAAATTTTGTTTCTCCGTTTGGGTAATTTTTATTGTTCTCTCTTCCAGTTCACGGATTCTCTGCTTTCTCCCTTTATTCAGTTGTTGAGTCCATCCACTGAGTTTTTGATTATTGTTATTGTATTTTCCAGTTCTAAAATTTTCATTTGGTTCTTCTTTATACTTCTTATTTATTTGCTAAGACTTTCTATCTATTTGCAGATATTTCCTTTTTTTTTGTTTCAACGTGTTCATAATTGCTTGTTAAGGTATTTTTATTATGGTGGCTTTAAGTTCTTTTTAAGGTAAGTCTAACATTTGTCCGCATGTTGGCATCTATTGTTTACCTTTTCATTCAGTTTGGGATGTCCTTGGTTCTTGGTATAAAGTGTGAATCTCAGTTGAAACCTAGACATCTTGAGTATTATAAGGCTAGAACTTATTTAAACCTTTTGTTTTATCTGGCTTCCTCTGACACCACTCCAGAAGAGAAAGGGGGCCACTGCCTTATTACTACCAGCTGGGGACAGAACTCCAGGTCCCTACTCAACCTCCATTGTCACCTGAGGTGTGTGTGTGCGCACCTTTATTACTGCTGGTGGGGGTGGGAGTCCTGGCTCCCCTTCAGGCCTCTACTAATACCTCCCTGTCTAGGAGGTGTAGGAATGCCTCATTACTGGTTCCTATGTGGCCTCTACAGGGTGGCAGGGGCTGGGGGCCAAAAAAGGGGTATTCAGCCTTGTTCCTGGTGGATACTGATAGAAGTCCTAACTCCACTCATCTTCCTTTGACATCATCCAATGGGGAGGTGGGGAGGTGGGGAGGTGGGGAGAGATGCCTGGGGAGGCGGTGGTTGGAAGTCTGAGTTCCCCTGTGGTCTCTGCTGGCATTGCTAGGGCAGGAGGAGGGAGCTCCTTGTTTCAGCTTGCGAGGGTAAAAGTCTAGGTTCCCCCCTCAGTCTTTGCTGGCATGGGTAAGGGTGGAGTTTGTTGGAGTAGAGTGGTTATTGTCTAAAGTTTTTTTTCTTGTTAGCCTGCCCTTTCTTGATCCTTTGACTGGAAAGAGCTGACTTGTGTTGGGGCTTTTTTGTCTGCACTTGGTTTCTTGGGGTTATTCCTTTCTTTGGCTCCTGGTCTGAGATATATGAGGTCAAAAAAAGCCCAGGAAATTTACCACTGTGTGGCTCCTTGGGTCCCAAGGTCCCTAGCTGGTCTGTCGTCTCTCCACCTTTCAGTGTTCTCATGTTTGTTTTATGTATGATGTTGAGGGCTTTTAATTGTACTTAAGGGAAAAATAAGAAAAAGTAAGTCTACTCCATTTCTGTTAAATTCATTTTGTATAGATTAGTTCTACCAGTAATATTCACAAAGAATTGGAAAAAATACAAGTCTGTATTTATTTCTTGGAGCAAAAAGCAAAGAACATTAGGAAAAAATGCATGGGATATGGAGGTGAAGTCAAAACATCCTGTTTTATGGCCTTTATTTTGACTATGTATTGACCACCATGTTAAGTACTGTATAAAGAAGTCTAAGACGATGATCCTGGCTTCAAGTAGCATGTAGGCTAGTTAGGAAGCCAAGATGTGGATTGCAAAATAGGTATGCCATACAAGCAGTAACTACTAAGTACTCCATGAGCCATGCAGTTTGTCAGTGAAGAGTGATGTCAAGATGGGGCAGCCAGGGAAGAGGCAGAATGTGAACTAAGCTCAGAAAACCCAGGCATGGATATGGTAGAAGGGGGCAGCTGGGGAAAAGACACCAAAGTAGGGATAATGGAACTGAGAAAGGTGCAAGATCAGTGTTATTAACCAAAAAACCCTGCAGTACTTAACTATAGGGTATGTATCAGGTTCTGGGCACTGTGCCAAACACCTTACATGGATTAGTTTTTATCATCCTTTGCAACGTGCCTTTGAAGTACGAATTATTTTCCATTTTACAAACAAGAAAACAGGCTCAAAAAGGTAACTTCTCCAGTCTCACACAACTGTACTAAGAGGAAGAGCTAGGATTCATAACAAAGTCTGTCTGAAATGTCTTAAGCATTACTCTTGAATATTTGGGTTGCACATGGCATTTGGCCGGAACAGAGGATTAACTTGGGCAAGGAGAAGAGAATAAGGTTGGAAATTGAGGCAAGATATGTGAGCCCTTCCATTTTGAGCAAGGGGGCTGTCCCTGAACATTTCTGAGGAAAAGAGTAAGGGTCCTACAGTAGGCCTCTTTGGGCATACCAGGCAGAAGGGATCTGGGGCAGGGGAAGAAAATGGAATGGGGAAGAGGGCGTGGTTTCCATGATAAGAGCCAAGAAAGTGGACCTCAAACTGACCTCTGCACAAAATCCTTTGTCAGGTTACCTTTAATGTTTTAGAATTACTAATAAGATATAAATCTCCCAATGGGGCTTATTCTATTTCTCTCTCTCTAATACAAACGTGACACTAGGGGCTTTTTAAAGAAAGCATTTAGAGATTTCAATGAAGACTCTGAGATATGATGGGTTAATTTCTATTTAACTTTTGGCTCCTTATTTTTAAAATGTCATATTACTGAGTCATGCTTAGTCATTGACTCAGGGCCTGGTTAGGTTAATTAGACACAATGTGGGTAGACAGAATGACATCACATACCTCCTCCAAAAGAGACAGAGGAGAAATAGAGGGGAAGAGAAGGATTCCAATAGAATTTTATTTCATAAGACTGGATAGGACTGACCAAAAAAAGAAGCAGACCAAATAGATTCTAATGAGCTCTTAGATGATGTATTAGTCTGTTTTCACGTTGCTGATAAACACTTACCCAAGAGTGGGTAATTTATACAGAGAAAGAGGTTTAATGGACTCATTCCATGTGGCTGGGGAGGCCTTACAATCATGGTGGAAGGTGAAAGACAAGAGAGAATGAGATCAAGTGAAAGGGGTTTCCCCTTATAAAACAGTCAGATCTCTTTAGACTTATTCACTACTATGAGAATAGTATGGGGGAAACCCCACCCCCATGATTCAATTATCTCCCAAGGCCTCTCCTACAACACCTGGGAATTACGGGAGCTACAGCTCAAGATGAGATTTGGGTGAGGACACAGCCAAACTATATCAGATGGCCTGGCTGTGGTGGAACAGTCAAGACATAGTGCTGATGGAATTATAAACACTTCCTATCAACACAGGGAGGGAAGGCCAAAGAAGTTCACAATCATATAGGAACTACAGAGTGCTGTTTCCAAAAATGTTTCACAGAACATCAATTCCATGAAATTATCTGAGAAAAAAAGGGGGGAGGGGCATTAAACAAATAACTGTCTTTACTGCATGCCTTTTCAGAGTCTTTAAAATTTTAAAGTGCATTATGAACTCCCAAGAGAGGATATAATATGCAGGGTTCCCAAATCTACTCGTTCACAGGAATCCTCCCACTTCGCCCTTTTTAAAATTTCTTTTTGTCTTGGAGATTTCTTATGACCGGTACTTTATACTTCACCCTTTCATAAGTTCTGGGACAGGAAAAGACTTAAGACATATCACAGAATTGTATCCCTAACTATAGATTTTTCTCTGGTGTCTCCAAAATGTGCCTGTTGTGTGTTTCTAAGATTACTTGAGAGCTAAATGAGTATTTTCTATTCAAATCGAAATTCACAAAGCGAAGTCATTTTCATAGAAATTCCCAAAATTGGGAGGAGCCAAGATGGCCGAATAGGAACAGCTCCGGTCTACAGCTCCCAGTGTGAGCGACGCAGAAGACGAGTGATTTCTGCATTTACATCTGAGGTACCGGGTTCATCTCACTACGGAGTGCCAGACAGTGGGCGCAGGCCAGTGGGTGCGCGCACCGTGCGCGAGCCGAAGCAGGGCGAGGCATTGCCTCACCTGGGAAGCGCAAGGGGTCAGGGAGTTCCCTTTCCGAGTCAAAGAAAGGGGTGATGGACGCACCTGGAAAACCGGGTCACTCCCACCAGAATATTGCGCTTTTCAGACCAGCTTAAAAAACGGCGCACCACGAGACTATATCCCACACCTGGCTCGGAGGGTCCTACCCCCATGGAATCTCGCTGATTGCTAGCACAGCAGTCTGAGATCAAACTGCAAGGCGGCAGCGAGGCTGGGGGAGGGGTGCCCGCCATTGCCCAGGCTTGCTTAGGTAAACAAAGCAGCCAGGAAGCTCGAACTGGGTGGAGCCCACCACAGCTCAAGGAGGCCTGCCTGCCTCTGTAGGCTCCACCTCTGGGGGCAGGGCACAGACAAACAAAAAGACAGCAGTAACCTCTGCAGACTTAAATGTCCCTGTCTGACAGCTTTGAAGCGAGCAGTGGTTCTCCCAGCACGCAGCTGGAGATCTGAGAACGGGCAGACTGCCTCCTCAAGTGGGTCCCTGACCCCGACCCCTGAGCAGCCTAACTGGGAGGCACCCCCCAGCAGGGGCACACTGACACCTCACACGGCAGGGTATTCCAACAGACCTGCAGCTGAGGGTCCTGTCTGTTAGAAGGAAAACTAACAAACAGAAAGGATATCCACACTGAAAACCCATCTGTACATCACCATCATCAAAGACCAAAAGTAGATAAAACCACAAAGATGGGGAAAAAACAGAACAGAAAAACTGGAAACTCTAAAACGCAGAGCGCCTCTCCTCCTCCAAAGGAACGCAGTTCCTCACCAGCAACGGAACAAAGCTGGATGGAGAATGACTTTGACGAGCTGAGAGAAGAAGGCTTCAGACGATCAAATTACTCTGAGCTACGGGAGGACATTCAAACCAAAGGCAAAGAAGTTGAAAACTTTGAAAAAAATTTAGAAGAATGCATAACTAGAATAACCAATACAGAGAAGTACTTAAAGGAGCTGATGGAGCTGAAAACCAAGGCTCGAGAACTATGTGAAGAATGCAGGAGCCTCAGGAGCCGATGCGATCAACTGGAAGAAAGGGTATCAGCAATGGAAGATGAAATGAATGAAATGAAGCAAGAAGGGAAGTTTAGAGAAAAAAGAATAAAAAGAAATGAGCAAAGCCTCCAAGAAATATGGGACTATGTGAAACGACCAAATCTACGTCTGATTGGTGTACCTGAAAGTGATGGGGAGAATGGAACCAAGTTGGAAAACACTCTGCAGGATATTATCCAGGAGAACTTCCCCAATCTAGCAAGGCAGGCCAATGTTCAGATTCAGGAAATACAGAGAACGCCACAAAGATACTCCTCGAGAAGAACAACTCCAAGACACATAATTGTCAGATTCACCAAAGTTGAAATGAAGGAAAAAATGTTAAGGGCAGCCAGAGAGAAAGATTGGGTTACCCTCAAAGGGAAGCCCATCAGACTAACAGCGGATCTCTCTGCAGAAACCCTACAAGCCAGAAGGGAGTGGGGGCCAATATTCAACATTCTTAAAGAAAAGAATTTTCAACCCAGAATTTCATATCCAGCCAAACTAAGCTTCATAAGTGAAGGAGAAATAAAATACTTTACAGACAAGCAAATGCTGACCGATTTTGTCACCACTAGGCCTGCCCTAAAAGAGCTCCTGAAGGAAGTGCTAAACATGGAAAGGAACAACCGGTACCAGCCGCTGCAAAATCATGCCAAAATGTAAAGACCATCGAGACTAGGAAGAAACTGTATTAACTAACGAGCAAAATCACCAGCTAACATCATAATGACAGGATCAAATTCACACATAACAATATTAACTTTAAATGTAAATGGACTAAATTCTCCAATTAAAAGACACAGACTGGCAAATTGGATAAAGAGTCAAGACCCATCAGTGTGCTGTATTCAGGAAACCCATCTCACGTGCAGAGACACATATAGGCTCAAAATAAAAGGATGGAGGAAGATCTACCAAGCAAATGGAAAACAAAAAAAGGCAGGGGTTGCAATCCTAGTCTCTGATAAAACAGACTTTAAACCAACAAAGATCAAAAGAGACAAAGAAGGCCATTACATAATGGTAAAGGGATCAATTCAACAAGAGGAGCTAACTATCCTAAATATATATGCACCCAATACAGGAGCACCCAGATTCATAAAGCAAGTCCTGAGTGACCTACAAAGAGACTTAGACTCCCACACATTAATAATGGGAGACTTTGACACCCCACTGTCAACATTAGACAGATCAACGAGACAGAAAGTCAACAAGGATACCCAGGAATTGAACTCAGCTCTGCACCAAGCGGACCTAATAGACATCTACAGAACTCTCCACCCCAAATCAACAGAATATACATTTTTTTCAGCACCACACCACACCTATTCCAAAATTGACCACATAGTTGGAAGTAAAGCTCTCCTCAGCAAATGTAAAAGAACAGAAATTATAACAAACTATCTCTCAGACCACAGTGCAATCAAACTAGAACTCAGGATTAAGAATCTCACTCAAAGCCGCTCAACTACATGGAAACTGAACAACCTGCTCCTGAATGACTACTGGGTACATAACGAAATGAAGGCAGAAATAAAGATGTTCTTTGAAACCAACGAGAACAAAGACACAACATACCAGAATCTCTGGGACACATTCAAAGCAGTGTGTAGAGGGAAATTTATAGCACTAAATGCCCACAAGAGAAAGCAGGAAAGATCCAAAATTGACACCCTAACATCACAATTAAAAGAACTAGAAAAGCAAGAGCAAACACATTTAAAAGTTAGCAGAAGGCAAGAAATAACTAAAATCAGAGCAGAACTGAAGGAAATAGAGACACAAAAAACCCTTCAAAAAATCAATGAATCCAGGAGCTGGTTTTTTGAAAGGATCAACAAAATTGATAGACCGCTAGCAAGACTAATAAAGAAAAAAGAGAAGAATCAAATAGACACAATAAAAAATGATAAAGGGGATATCACCACCAATCCCACAGAAATACAAACTACAATCAGAGAATACTACAAACACCTCTACGCAAATAAACTAGAAAATCTAGAAGAAATGGATAAATTCCTCGACACATACACTCTCCCAAGACTAAACCAGGAAGAAGTTGAATCTCTGAATAGACCAATAACAGGAGCTGAAATTGTGGCAATAATCAATAGTTTACCAACCAAAAAGAGTCCAGGACCAGATGGATTCACAGCCGAATTCTACCAGAGGTACAAGGAGGAACTGGTACCATTCCTTCTGAAACTATTCCAATCAATAGAAAAAGAGGGAATCCTCCCTAACTCATTTTATGAGGCCACCATCATTCTGATACCAAAGCTGGGCAGAGACACAACCAAAAAAGAGAATTTTAGACCAATATCCTTGATGAACATCGATGCAAAAATCCTCAATAAAATACTGGCAAACCGAATCCAGCAGCACATCAAAAAGCTTATCCACCATGATCAAGTGGGCTTCATCCCTGGGATGCAAGGCTGGTTCAATATATGCAAATCAATAAATGTAATCCAGCATATAAACAGAGCCAAAGATAAAAACCACATGATTATCTCAATAGATGCAGAAAAAGCCTTTGACAAAATTCAACAACCCTTCATGCTAAAAACTCTCAATAAATTAGGTATTGATGGGACGTATTTCAAAATAATAAGAGCTATCTATGGCAAACCCACAGCCAATATCATACTGAATGGGCAAAGACTGGAAGCATTCCCTTTGAAAACTGGCACAAGACAGGGATGCCCTCTCTCACCGCTCCTATTCAACATAGTTTTGGAAGTTCTGGCCAGGGCAATCAGGCAGGAGAAGGAAATAAAGGGTATTCAATTAGGAAAAGAGGAAGTCAAATTGTCCCTGTTTGCAGACGACGTGATTGTTTATCTAGAAAACCCCATTGTCTCAGCCCAAAATCTCCTTAAGCTGATAAGCAACTTCAGCAAAGTCTCAGGATACAAAATCAATGTACAAAAATCACAAGCATTCCTATACACCAACAACAGACAAACAGAGAGCCAAATCATGAGTGAACTCCCATTCACAATTGCTTCAAAGAGAATAAAATACCTAGGAATCCAACTTACAAGGGATGTGAAGGACCTCTTCAAGGAGAACTACAAACCACTGCTCAAGGAAATAAAAGAGGATACAAACAAATGGAAGAACATTCCATGCTCATGGGTAGGAAGAATCAATATCATGAAAATGGCCATACTGCCCAAGGTAATTTACAGATTCAATGCCATCCCCATCAAGCTACCAATGACTTTCTTCACAGAATTGGAAAAAACTACTTTAAAGTTCATATGGAACCAAAAAAGAGCCCACATCGCCAAGTCAATCCTAAGCCAAAAGAACAAAGCTGGAGGCATCACACTACCTGACTTCGAACTATACTACAAGGCTACAGTAACCAAAACAGCATGGTACTGGTACCAAAACAGAGATATAGATCAATGGAACAGAACAGAGCCCTCAGAAATAATGCCGCTTACCTACAACTATCTGATCTTTGACAAACCTGAGAAAAACAAGCAATGGGGAAAGGATTCCCTTTTTAATAAATGGTGCTGGGAAAACTGGCTAGCCATATGTAGAAAGCTGAAACTGGATCCCTTCCTTACACCTTATACAAAAATCAATTCAAGATGGACTAAAGATTTAAACGTTAGACCTAAAACCATAAAAACCCTAGAAGAAAACCTAGGCATTACCATTCAGGACACAGGCGTGGGCAAGGACTTCATGTCCAAAACACCAAAAGCAATGGCAACAAAAGCCAAAATTGACAAATGGGATCTAATTAAACTAAAGAGCTTCTGCACAGCAAAAGAAACTACCATCAGAGTGAACAGGCAACCTACAACATGGGAGAAAATTTTCGCAACCTACTCATCTGACAAAGGGCTAATATCCAGAATCTACAATGAACTCCAACAAATTTACAAGAAAAAAACAACCCCATCAAAAAGTGGGCAAAGGACATGAACAGACACTTCTCAAAAGAAGACATTTATGCAGCCAAAAAACACATGAAAAAATGCTCATCATCACTGGCCATCAGAGAAATGCAAATCAAAACCACTATGAGATATCATCTCACACCAGTTAGAATGGCAATCATTAAAAAGTCAGGAAACAACAGGTGTTGGAGAGGATGTGGAGAAATGGGAACACTTTTACACTGTTGGTGGGACTGTAAACTAGTTCGACCATTGTGGAAGTCAGTGTGGCGATTCCTCAGGGATCTAGAACTAGAAATACCATTTGACCCAGCCATCCATTACTGGGTATATACCCAAAGGACTATAAATCATGCTGCTATAAAGACACATGCACACGTATGTTTATTGCGGCATTATTCACAATAGCAAAGACTTGGAACCAACCCAAATGTCCAACAATGATAGACTGGATTAAGAAAATGTGGCACATATACACCATGGAATACTATGCAGCCATAAAAAATGATGAGTTCACGTCCTTTGTAGGGACATGGATGAAATTGGAAACCATCATTCTCAGTAAACTATCGCAAGAACAACAAACCAAACACCGCATATTCTCACTCATAGGTGGGAATTGAACAATGAGATCACATGGACACAGGAAGGGGAATATCACACTCTGGGGACTGTGGTGGGGAGGGGGGAGGGGGGAGGGATAGCATTGGGAGATATACCTAATGCTAGATGACGAGTTAGTGGGTGCAGCGCACCAGCATGGCACATGTATACATATGTAACTAACCTGTACAATGTGCACATGTACCCTAAAACTTAAAGTATAATTTAAAAAAACAAAAATTCCCAAAATTTTCTCTCCGACCCTCTAAACTATCCAAGTGAATCAATAAACCAGTTCATGAGAGGAAATTGCAGCTATTTTACATGCTTTTTTAAAATCAATGTTCAATTATAATCAGATTACAAAAGGAATCACATTGCCACATCTCCTTCTGGCTGCGCACTGTAAGCCAGGCGTCCTTGGTTCTCAGTAACCCCTGTTCTGCTGACAGGCACGGAGCTGGGCCTCTAGTACCATCTGATCAAGGGAGCTGTTGGGAGGCGCTCTCTCCTCTCTCCTGGAGGCCTGAGGGAGCTTCTGGAACTCCTGGAAGTTTGGGTCTTTCCCTTGGGAAATGTGCTGCACCCTCTGCTCCTTTTTCTTAATGGCCTCCTTGATGCCCTCAATGTGACACTTTTCCTCCTTCTCGGCTTTCAGTTTCAGGATGTGGTGGTTTTTCTCCCTCAGGTGGTTGAGCTCCCGGAGGTGCTGCACCTTGTCCCTAGTGGTCTTGTGCACGTGACTCCTGGCCTGTCGGATCTTCTCATCCGCCAGCTCCACCAGAATTCTTTTGCGCATCTTCCTCTGTTCCTCTGACTCCCCTGCGCGCCACCTGGCCTGCTGCAACTGCTCTTCCTCCTTCTGGGCCTTCTCCCTCAGCTCGCGTTGCCGCTCCTTCCTCAGGCCCTGGTGTATCTCCTGGGACCGCTGGAAACTTTGTTCCAGGGACAGCTGCCTAAGGAGCTCCTCAGCCTTGGCCTGGCAGTCCATGAGGACCTTCCGGGCCTGGTAATTGATGAGGGAGCTCAGGTTGGTGTCCTGGACCTTCTTCTGGCCCTCCACGGCATGTAGGTGCCTCTTGCGACAGGCTTCCACCAGCCTCCTCTGCAGCTGCAGGCTGTGCTGCTCCCGGAGGTTCCGTAGCATCTTCTCCTGCTCCCGCAGGCGCCGCACCTGGCACTGTTTTCGGTGCTCTGCCTGGGCGCGCGCCTTCTCCAGCTTCTCCTGGCGCGGGCTCTCCTGGTCCTCTGGTTGCTCCTTCCACCGGCTTTCCCCCGGGGGCACGTTCTTCCTCTGGCTGTCCCGCCGCAGGCCGCGCTGCTCAGGGCTCTGGAGGGTCTTGCGCTGCTCCTTCTCCTGCCACTGCTCCTGGCTCTGCCGCAGCAGCAGCCGGCGCTCCCGCTCCAGGGTCATCTGGACCTTCTGATCCGAGCGCTTCAGCTCCTCCCAGGCCTTAGCCGCCTGCTGCTGCAGCTCCCGTATCCTCTGGGCCTTCTTGAGACGGGTCAGCACCAGGGCCACAATCTGCTGGTCCTGGGAGGACACCACCACCTCTTCCAGCTTGCTCTTCAGGACCTGGGTGTGCGGGCTCCGCATCTCTTTGCTGGAGGCCAAGGGCTGGGAGTCCCGGCTGGCTAATGACTCAACCTGGTCGCTGCTGTCTCTCTTCTGGGCGCACACGCAGGCTGAGTGCCTCTTGAACTTTTGCGAGGGCACAGAAGACCGCTCCGAGGGAACTGAGGAAGGGGACCAGCGACCTAGATGTCTGCCGAGTGGCACTGCCCACTGGTCTCCACCCTGTGCCTTTTCTACCCTGAATGTGCCACTCAGGGGAGTGCCAGCTCCTCCGGGGCAAGGCGGGGGCGAGTCTCCCTGGGCCAGAGGGTAATGCGGGCAGGGCTGCGGCCGCTGGGGTGGCAGCTGGGTCTGCGGCTGCCAAGCCGGGCGGGGCTTGGTTCCTGTCTCTCCCCAGGCATCTTCCAGGCGCCTGCTGCGGGGCCGGTGCTTCCTGGAACGTTCCAGGGGCCTGCGGGCCACATCGCTCAGGCTTCGGCTGCCCCGCAGTGAATCTGAGCACCCGCGCCTGCGAGGCCGCGGGGTGAACGAACAGTGCGGGTGCAGCCAGCACGCCCCAGCTTCGCTCTCCGCACCCGGAGTCCCGGCCCGGGAGCACGCGGTGGAGTCGGCTCCGGACCTCTGCCCGCCCAGCCGCTGCGTGGACTCTCGTTCTCCGCCGGGCCGCGGGGGTTCCCAGAGATCCCGGTAGGGCGGCTGGGAGAAGTGGCTGAAGCCTGCCATCCCTCCCTCTGGGCACGCGCAGCGTCTGCCCAAGGGGCCTGAGACCTCCCGAGGACGCTGCAGACACCCGCCCTGCCCCCCGGTCCCGAGGTCCGGGTCGCCTGTGACGCTCGGGCCACTTCACAATGCGCCTGGCAGCTGGGTCCTCGCAGTCTTCAGACCTTGCCCGGCGCCGCCCACCCCAGCTTTGCTAGCACCCGGAGCACCTGGAATGGGAAGGACAGGAGGCTGGGGATGGGGGTGGTGGGGGTCGGGTGGGGGAGAGAGGGGTTGTATGTTGGAGGAGGGAATATGTAGGAAATCAGGGTGACATTTAAAGCTGAGGGTGCATAGTGTCCCCCACCAGTGTTTCAGGGAGAAATTTGAACTCGCATTTGCACACAAACAGCAGGATTTTAAGAGAGCCCAGGTGAAGGCGTCACCCTCAGAATGGAAGGGGTGGGGAGAAGGGCCGGGGTGCAGTCTCAGGGAGGAGGTACCCTTAGCTGCAGAATCACCGTCCTGCACGTGTGTACCTCTGCAATGTGGTCAAATAGAACGGCTGTGGACGCGACACCACCCATTTGCCTTTTAAGTTAGCAAGCCCAAAGTATGCTTTAATGTTTACTTTTTAAGATTTTTAGAAAAGGTAGAAGACGACTCTATTTCCTAATATGGTAATTACTGCTTTTGTCAAAATGTGAATGCTGCGTGCACATTTCTGCAATAGCATTAGTGAACACCATGTTGAAATCACATTTTTTTTTCCCTTTTCCTCCAATTTTGTGGGATTCTCGTTCCTTGTTGAGGCACCCTTGGCTAATGGGAAAAGCACTGGATCTGGTAGAGAAAAAGAATTTGAATCTCCTCTACCACTCTTCACTCATGGGCTCTTGGGCAAATTCCCTAAGTTTCCCTGACCTCCAGTTCCAGCAAGGTGGAATGGGAAGTGGGGCCTCATCATATGGGCATTGCAGGACTGTTGTGAGGGTCAGATGAAATTATGCATCCAGAGGTTGGCACCAGAATACATTCAATAAATATTATTTTGGTGCCATGCTAAGCGTCAGTTAAAAGTTTTAAGGGTTGGGCTGGGTGGTGGCTCATGCCTGTAATCCTAGCATGTTGGGAAGGCAAGGCAGGAGGATTCCTTGAGCCCAGGACTTAGACCAGTCTGGGCAACATAGAGAGATCCTGCTTCTATATAAAAATTTTAAAAATTAGCTGGACATGGTGGGTGCATTTGTAGTGCCAGCTACTCTGGAAGCTGAGGTAGAAGGATTGCTTGAGCCCAGGAATTTGAGGCTGCAGTGAGCCATGATTGTGTCACTGCACCCCAGCCTGGGCAAGAGTGAGACTTTGTCTCAAAAACAAAGTGTTAAGACTTAAAGTAATATATGAATTTACAAATATTTCTGCAGATTCCTAGCTTAAGAAAAGAATGAAATTAATGTAATCCTAAAATAGTTTAAGTAAAGGATAGAGTGCTAGAAAGGGGAGACTCCAAGCTCTGTCGTGTCCACATCATACTGTGGATCTTGGCTAAGTCATTTCTCTTCTCTGGGGTTGCTGTGGTCTGAAGGTTTGTGTTTCCCCCAAATTCATATGTTAAAATTCTAACCCTCAAGGTGATAGTATTAGGAGGTGATTAGGTCATATGGGTGGAGCCCTCATCAATGGGATTAGTGCCCTTATAAAAGGAGCCCCAGAGTAATCCCTCATCCCTTCTGTCACGCGAGGACACAGTGAAAAGATGGCCATCTCTGAACCAGGGAGAGGATCCTCACCAGACACCAAATCTGATGTCTTGATCTTGGACTTCTTAGCCTTCAAAATGGTGAGAAATAAATTTCATTCATTTATATGCCACCCAATCTGTGGTATTTTGTTAATAGCATCTGGAAGAGACTAAGGCAGGGTTGCAATGAGGAAACAGTTCTGGATAGCATTCTCCAAGTATGACCATTCCTTAAAGAAGAAAAATGAGTATTTACCCACACCAGTCCTCTTCATTCACGTCTCCTTGAAGCATCACAGCAACCCCAGCTAGGAAGGACCAATAGCCTTGATAATATTTTCCACTGGACAAATCTGGGACTTGGCCATATTAACTGATTTCCCCAGGGTCACTTGGTCAATGGCAGGAGTTTTGACTTCAGATTTACTTCTCTTTCCATGATAGCGTGCTGCCTGCCTCTCGGGGAATACACTTTAAATTGAGCCATGCTTTTAAGAGAATTATGATCTGATGTACAGCAGAGGGTCATGGACACCATGTCCTTGAAGCCACGTGGTAGCAGCCTTAACTACAGTGGAAGGAGCCACTCTGCCTGGTTAGGATCTCACCAGCATGTCTATAGCTGGGGATAAGAAGTTTTTCTACCCTAGATTTTATTGGCACCATTTGTATCCTTGTTAAATAAATTATTTTATGTGAATATAGTCCTTACTAGATGGTAATTTAAAAAGTAAACCAAATTTGAATGGAATCATTTAACTTTTGAAGTTAGGAAATTTTTTTCATGTATTGAGTTGTGCTGATAGCTGAGTGTCATATCTCTCTGTTGATGCTTTGTAAAACATTTTGCAGGGACAGGTCAATACCCAGGCTACTCCCATAGAGCAGTGTTATGTGGGTGAAAGTATACTCACCTGAAAGCCAGGAGACCTGCCACCAGCCAGTTCTGCTAGCAGCTGAGTCACCTGAGCAGTCATTTCACCTTTCCTCATCCCTGTAAAGTCTCTTTCAGTCCCAAATGCAGCTGGAGAAAGGGTTCAATCTAGTAAATGCTTCAGCCTTTGTTCTGTAAAGCAAAAATGAGTTAATCCATGAAAAATGCTTAGAGCAGTGTCTGTCTGCATGTGGTAGCTGCCTTATAAATATTAGCCATTAGAATCATCATTATCATTATGCCAAGAGCACTAAAACCATGGCAGCGTAGAGCTGAATTTAAAGACTTAGTTTGGGATGGAGTCAGAATGAGAACCCAAGGGCTCAGATTTCCAGTTCGGGGCTCTTTGGCCTCTTGCTTCCTCTGAAGGTTCTCAGGATTCCTCAGGGAATTGTGTATGGCTCACTCACCTCTGCTGACGATGGAATAAAGGACACAGTCTTCACTTCATAATGTCACACACATTTATTGATAATCTGGGCCAGGATTAGAAAGATGATATTGCTATGAGAAACAGGTCTGGGTAGCAGATGTTTTAAGTGGTTAAACAGTTCACCTTAACAGATTTCCCAGGGGAAGGTGGGGGTGTGCTCTGTCTGAATTGTTTATAAGAGAGGGCTCCATACAGGATGACACTGGAGTGAAACCTGGAAGGACAGTTAGGATTGTCCAGACAGGGATGAGCAGGAAGACACCAGGCCGAGGAAGCTGCATGGACTGCAGTGTGGAGCCTCGAATGCCTGGCACATTGGGGTTGTGTGATTTGTGTAGCAGGGGCATGGAGAGTGTGTGCAGTGAAGTGGCAGGTGATGAGGCCAGAAAGGTAGGCTGGGGCAGATTCTGGAGGGCCTGCTATGCCAAGCCAGGAAGCATAGACATCCTCCCGCTGGGCTGCAGCATCCCAGCTGTGTCCGGAAGAGTTCCGGGATTCCTCAGAGCTGTGTTGGGCCCAGAGGGGCAGGGCTGGAGGACTTTAGGGCAGGCTCTGAGGCCTCTGTCCTTGCTTTACCCAGGGCAGCTTAGACTTTATCTGTTTTATATCTTGGAGCTCCTGATAACACTTCACTGAAAAAATTTGGGGTTCTTCTGTTTCAATCCTTTTTTATGAGGGTTGAAATCCACTGTATAGATCACAGGGAGAAGTCAATAAAACTCTTGAAACCAGGAAAGAAACCCAATGGGATCTAGATTTTAGAAAGCTCACCCTGGCAGCAGCGTGGATGATCAATTAGTAGGCTGGTTCAGCAGTCTGGGTGGGCAATAAGGAAACGCAAACCAGGGCAATAGCCAGGGGACAGGAAGGAATGGATTGGAGGAACAGGTCAGAGTTTGAGGGTTCATGTCATGGGGATGCTTTGATATGGAGAAGGAGGGTTTCTAACCCAAGTGGCAGTGATAGCAGATCTCCAGTCTAGGTGATCTTGAAGACAACAATCTTGGAAATTTGGTAAAAGAAGTTATAATAACAAGTGACCCCTACACAGAACAGCAAATAGAATGTCTGGAGTAAACCACCAAAACTTGAAAGAGAAACCTCTTCCTTTGAGGGTCCTGGTGGGGAAGCTCCAAGCCTTAGCACATCGTCACAGAGCCAAGGAAATCTTCCTCACCTGCATCTGTAGCCTGTTATGGAGACCCCTCAGAGGATCCCAGGCTGGAAGCTAAAGTCAGCTCTTTCCTGGGGCAGACGAAGGAGATGTTTTGCAAATGCTACACTGCCAAACATTCCCTTGATACTAAGAACAATCATTTTTATTTGGCAGAAAAAAATCCTCAATGTATTTTGCTGGATGCCTTAGAATGTGAGCCTTCTGCCAAATGAAGACCTGGACCTCCTAATTTGTTGGAGACTTGGCAAATATGGCAGAATGTGCTCTGACCCCACAATTCAAATTCATCTGTGGAATTGAAATGCGTTCCACGCCCTTCCTCAGAACAGATTGTTAGCTGTTGTGGTGACTTCCAATTCGATGTCTTAGCAGAGCATCTAATTCTGGGATGGGTCAAATGGGAGAAAAAAGCTATAGCTACTCTGTCTAATATGGCAGCCCGTACTCATACATGGTAGGTGCCCTTGAGCATGAATAATTTGAATTGATGTGTGCTGTAAGTATAAAATACACACTGGATCTCAAAAGCAGTATGAAAAAATGTAAAATATCTCAATACTTTTTTTTATATTGGTTACATGCTGAGATGATAGTATTTTGAACCCATTAGGCTAGATTAAATGTATTACTGAGATTAATTTCATGTTTCTTGTTACTTATATTAAAGTGGCTCCTAATAAAAATTGCACATGTGCATATACAATAGATATCACAGTACATGTCCTTTGGACAGAGCTGCTGTAGATTAATTGAGGTTCCCCAATATTCATGTAGTAAGCACAAGCTTTTAATATTTAGGTAATTTTTATTCTATATAAATGTATTGCTTTGAAACCACCTTTACTAAGAGGATAATATTTATGTGGAAAGTTCTTTTTTTCCTTAATGGCTGGATGATAGGGTAAATTATTAATTTCCTTTTTGTTTTGTTTTGTTTTTGAGACAGAGTCTCACTCTGTCGCCCAGGCTGGAGTGCAGTGGCGCAATCTTGGCTCACTGCAACCTCTGCCTCCCGGGTCCAAGTGATTCTCCTGCCTCAGCCTCCCAAGAAACTGGGACTATAGGCGTGCACCACCATGCCCAGGTAATTTTTGTATTTTTAGTAGAGATGGGTTTTCACCATGTTGGCCAGGCTGGTCTCGAACTCCTGACCTCATGTGATCTGCCCACCTTGACCTTCCAAAGTGCTGGGGTTACAGGCATGAGCCACCGTGCCTGGCCAGTTTTCTTTCTCTCTCTCTCTCTCTTTTTTTTTTTAGACAGAGTCTCACTCTGTCACCAGGCGGGAATGCAGTGGTGTGATCTCACTGCAGCTTCGACCTCCCAGGCTCAAGTGATTCTCCCACCTCAGCCTCTTGAGTAGCTAGGACTACAGGCATGCAGCACCATGCCTGGCTAATTGTTGTATTTTTTGTAGAGACAGGGTTTCACCATGGTGTCCAGCCTGCTCTCAAACTCCCAGGCTCAAGTGATCTACCTGCCTCAGCCTCCCAAAGTGCTTGGATTACAAGCATGAGCTACCATATGCGGCAATTATTAATTTTCAAAAATCAGTTTTGCAGTACAATTTCACAGGATTTCTGTTCTTTTATGCCCCACCTCCACTTTTTCCTCACTACACAGGAAAACATTCCCCTAAGTAACAGTATCTGAGAATACAGTACAGGACCACTCTCTACATGAGCCTATGAGATATGGACTGGTTAAAAATATCAGACCTGCAAAACAGTGAAAAAAAAAAAAAAAAGTATGCAAACACCCAGGGCAATAAGTGAAAAACTCATGTTAATGTAGTGCTAAGAATGAAAACTGCAGCCTATAAACTTCTTTTTTAAAAAAAGAAAATAGTGGGATAAGGGCCTAGAAATAGGAAAGTTGTTACCATGGAAACAATCACTTACCCACAATGCAAATATTCCATGAGTATGAGAGGTTATATGTATAAAAATGGTGGCAGATACATATTGAGCGGGTGTTAGATCATGGCTCTAAGTGCTTTATGTGCAAACCCTACCACAACTATGTGAAATAGGAACTGTTCTTTCTGGGCCAACTGTTCTTTCTAAGAGGGAATTGCTCAAGATCACGAAATTAGTCGGCAGGGGAGTCAGGATCAGATCCTGGTCCCTCACCCCAACCTCACACCGGATGGCCTTCTTGCTAGGACTGCATAATTATAGCCAGAGAAAATCACGTGTAGCCTGGACAGCATAAGAGTATTTTAAACACTTCTAGTTTTGCTGCACCTTAGGATTTTAATGTTTTTCACATTTGTAAACTTCATGCAATTAAAAGCAGGAGATGATAATTAACCAATTCTTATGAAGAAAGGAAGAACTCGAAATAAGTATGCTTAGAGTTGACAGTGAGTTCAATTCCACAGGGAGATAACAGGACTGAGCTGCAGTTACTGGATCACTCAAAACTGACACAGAAACACAAAACGGTGTGATAAAGTTGCTGATTTTTGAAATGTTATTACAAATAGTTTGTAATGTTAAAACACAGGAAGACATTGACCCAGTGGAAACTTGAGGAAATAGTCTCGCTTAATAACGTATCCACTTTGGAGTTCCTTCATCCTCAGCATCACATAGGCATTACATTGAATAATTTTATTTTTAATTTTAAAGAACGTGCTTTGTTGAAACTTTAAAAAAATGTGTGAGGCTTTTAAAGTTCCATTTTTAAAATGTTTTCGGTTTTTGCTAAAATTGAGCATGAAGTTTTCAACCTTAAAGGAAATTTGTTTTTCAGAAAGATAGAAGTGAGGGAAGATAGCACTGCAATAGAATTCTGGTGATGGATGGTTTCCTGTGATGGCTAACTGTGCATATATTGTAATATGCTGTGCATTGTGAATCCTTTGCTGATGTTAGGTAGGGTAGGGCACCCTCAGCCCACTTAAATTCTAGCCTCTGCATCCAGCAGATTTATTATACTATGAAAGAATTTTCAGTGGGCAACTCATAGTGTTCTTTTCACTCAAAGCCACCCACACATGGGGCTGGAGTAGAATTCAGAAACTGTGGGTGGCCCTGTCTGTGCATTCAGCAACTGCTTCTGTCCACAAGAACCGTTTGAAAGCACCTTCCTCCACCTACCTGGGTCTCTGCACGGCCATACCTCTGGTGAGAGTCATTAACTGTTCTCCCCTTTGCATGGAATGGGGTTCCTTCTTGAAGTCTTGGTTCAGACAAAGCCATCCCTGATCAGATTAAATTCTCTACTATACACTCTCACAGCTCCTTTAGAGTAGCAGCTTCTCGCCTTGGTGGGTGTGTTCATTGCAGGCCTACACTTGAGAGTTCTGTGAAGATTTGATTAACCAAGTCATCCTCCAGTAAGTTCCACGAGAGAAAGGATCTCACCTGCTTTTTTCACCCCCACTCAGGAACTTGATAAATATTTGTTGAATGAATGAAATAAATGATTGACTGCACTAAAAATTCACAGTGGCTCATGCCTGTAATCCCAGCACTTTGGGAGGCCGAGGCAGGTGGATCACGAGGTCAGGAGATTGAGACCATCTTGGCTAACACGGTGAAACTCTGTCTCTACTAAAAATAGAAAAAATTAGCTAGAGTGGTGGCACATGCCTGTAGTCCCAGCTACTCGGAAGGCTGAGGTGGGAGAATCACTTGAACTCAGGAGGCGGAGGTTGCAGTGAGCCGAGATTGCGCCACTGCACTCCAGCCTGGGAGACAGAGCAAGACTCTGCCTCAAAAAAAAAAAAAAAAATCAGTGTCTAAAGGTTGGGTGCAGTGGCTCATGCCTGTAATCCCAGCACTTTGGGAGGCTGAGGTGGGAGAATCACTTGAGGTCAGTAGTTCGAGACCAGCCTGGCCAACATGGTGAAACCCCGTCTCTACTAAAAATACATAAATTACCTGGTGGCATGGTGGCAGGCACCTGTAATCCCAGCTATTCGGGAGGCTGAGGCAGGAGAGTTGCTTGAACCCGGGAGGCGGAGATTGCAGTGAGCAGAGATTGCACCACCGCACTCCAGCCTAAGTGACAGAATGAGATTCTGTCTCAAAAAAAAAAAACCAAAAACAAAACTATAAAAAATAAAAATTCACAGTGTCTACGCACTGCTAAGCCAGTCAGTGGTAGGTGTCAGTGCCTCTATTTGCATATGTGCATCTAGTGCAGGGATGATTTCTAATCTTTTCTATCTGACTCAAGCCCCTGTCCACACTTTTGCCCACTCACTCTTTGCTCCTGTTCTCAGCCCCTACATTTTAAACAAGATCAAGGTCATCAAAGCAAACTTCCTCAACTTCCCCTTCCTCTGGGTCTTCATCCATTTTCTCCTCCTTTCTGACACAGGGTGGAAATTGACCCTGTCTCTTGCCAAAGCCCATTCCCCCTACTCTAATTCTGTACCTCCATCTTCCCCAGGCCCTTGCTGTCTCCTGCATCCCCTATTTTGACTCCTCTTTCTTCTTTTCTCTCTCTCCTTACAACTATGTTCAGGTGACTTCCATCTCCCATGACCCTTATAGTTTAGCTCTAGGGCAGCACTGTCCAACAGAACTTTCTGAGATAAGGGAAATGCGCTGTATCTGTGCTATCCAATATGGAGCCCACAGGTAGTTACTGAGCACATGAAATATGGCTGGCATGACTGAGGAAATAGACTTTTAATTTTATTTAATTCTAACTTATTAAAATTAAAAGAGGCACGTGTGGCTGGTGCCCTCCATATTGGACAGCAGAGTTATAAAATGTGAGCTCTGAAGTCATATTGCTTAGATTAAAATAAACTATAGTTTTGATCTCTGAACCATATGACCTTGGGCAACTTACTTAAGTTCTTTAAGTATTCAACTTCTTCATCTAAAGTTGTGATAGTAGTACTGAAGTATAGGTTTGTCATGGATGAGATAATTCGTAGCATTACATTTAGCAGATAGTGTATACTCCTAGCATAAACACTCAAAATTTGCTTCTTGTAGTTATCGTCATCATCATCATCTTTGTTATTCAGACATGTTCACATTGTTTTTTCAAACTTCAGCTCAAGATGCATTAATAATCAACAACATTAATTTCGTGGACTTTGGCTAGTATTTTTTAAAAAGAAATACTTTACAATAGAATAAGAAATATGAGTGGTTTTCATGTAGTAGAGGTAGATATGAAGTCGTGAAATGTTTGTTTCTATGGGTGAACTATGTACCAGGTGTTGAAGTAAAATATATTTCTTACCATAGGTTGCATTTTCTAAAAAAGTTGTGTTTCTCTAGAAGTGTTGTTTTAGAGTTTAGAAGGTCAAGACTATGTCCTAGAGGCCAAATCCAGTGGTCTCTTCTCAGTCTCATCTTGATTTCTTGGACCTATTTGGCACTGAGGTCCACCTTCCATTCGACTGAATTTCTTTCCTTCCTTGACTTACTTTGCTTACTTTTTCTTCTCTCCACCCAGTGTTTCTCCAAGGGTCACTTGGGTTCTTTTTTTAAAAAACAGTCTCACTTTGTTGCCCAGACTGGAGTGCAGTGGTTGGATTATGACTTACTGTAGCCTTGACCTCCCAGGCTCAAGCAATCCTCCTGCCTCAGCCCCCTGAGTAGCTGGGACTATAGGCACATGCCAACATGCCCAGCTAACTTTTAAAATTTTTGTAGAGACATGGTCTCACTGTTTCCCAGGCTGGTCTCAAACTCCTGGGCTAAAGCCATCCTGCTACCTTGGTCTCACAATCCCATGCCTGCTGGGATTACAGACGTGAGCCACAGCACCCGGCCCTCCAAGAGCCATTGGTGTCAAAATCAGTCTAGAGGTGTAAGAACATGTTTATTCTCCAAGGTGGGCCTCCTGATTGTGTCTCCTGTCACCCTTGCGACCTCTCCTCCCACACTGAATTCAGCTCATCTATGTAAACGATAGGATTTTGCAGACACGACAAGTGTGACTTATGAGGATTTGTCATAAAAGATCTTGTGGTCTCTGCCTTTCTCTCATGGATCACTTGCTCCTGGGGAGCCAGATGCCGTGTTATGAGGACACTCATCTTCATTTGGATCCTTTAGCCGAGTTAAATCTTCAGATCACTGCAGCCCAGCCGACAACTTGACTGCAACCTCGCCAGATGCCTGGAGCCAGATTCCTGATTTATAGAAACCATGAGATCAAAAATGTTTCCTTGTTTTTTAAGATGCTGAATTTTGGGGTAATTACATCAATAGAAAAGGAAGCGGGTGTGTGCTTTAAGCTGCATGTCCCTAGACCCCGTCCTGGGCCTACTGAATCTGGTTCCCCAGGGACAGCCTCAGGATGGCCTCACAGTTTGCATTAACATCTCTGGGTACTTTTTCTACCCTCTACAGTTTAAGACCCACTGCTCTTTTTTTGTTTTCACTGACTGTCCTCCCTCCCTCACTCCCTCCATTTCTTCCTTTTCCTATAGCACAGGTCCCAAAAGTTCTCTCCAGGGCCTCCTCCCTTTTCATCGTGCACTCCTTAAGCAAGTGCATCTATTCTGTGGCTTTAGCCGACAGTCTTGGAGCAGCTCAGGGACCTGCTTCTCTTCCTTGGAGCCCTCTACAAAGCTCGTGAGACTGAGTTTCCAACCGCTTACTGGGTATCTCCATATGGATTTTTTTCTGGCAACTCAAACCCAACATTTCCAACATTGAATTCATAACCATCCTCACAAAATCTCCTTTTTATTTGTATTCCCTGCTTTTGTTAGTAGGTTTATAGCTCAGTCTCTTAGACTCTAAGTCTTGACGTCATCTTTGCATTCTCTTTTTCCCTCACCCTCAGCACATAGGGGTCCCTGAGATCTTAACATTGCCCCTCTTCAGAGCCTCCCTTGGCTGCGGCTATTGCTCTTGTTCACACTTCATTATCCCTTCCCTGGATGGTTGGGAAGCTTCCTGATTGTCTTCTTGTCCTATTCTTTCCCCATCCAAACTTCATGCTTCCTAAAAGACTAGTATCTGGTTCAACTGATCATGACACTTCCTCACTCAAAATCCTTTGATGCAGTCTATCATTAATGGGCATTTGGGTTAATTCCGTGTTGCTATTGTGAATAGTGCTGCAATGAACATATGCATGCATGTATCTTTGTAACAGAATGATTTATATTCCTTTGGGTTTACACCCAGTAATGAGATTGCTAGGTCAAATGGTATTTCTGGTTCTAGATCTTTGAGGAATCGCCACACCATCTTCCACAATGGTTGAACTGATAGCATTCCTATGTATCTGCAGCATCACTGCATCTATGTGGTACATATACATCATGGAATACTACGTGGCTATAAAGAGGAATAAGATCATGTCCTTTGCAGGGGCATGGATGGAGCTGGAAGCCATTATCCTCAGCAAACTAACACAGGAACAGAAAACCAAACACCACATGTTCTCATTTATACATGGGAGCTGAACAATGAGAACACATGGACCCAGGGAAGGGAACAACACACACTGGGGCCTGTCGGGGGTGGGGTGGTGGGGAAGGGAGAGCATTAGGAAAAATAGCTAATGCATGCTGGGCTTAATACCTAGGTGATGGGTTGATAGGTGCAGCAAACCTGCCTATGTACCCTGGAACTTAAAAAAAAAATCATTTGATGGCTTCCCACTGTCTTTTGATAAAGTTCAAATTTTTTGGAGTAACCCCAGTAAGATGTTCCATCCGTATTTCTATCAGCCACCTTGCAATCCATCCCTAAACACACATGCTCCCTAGGCACAAAGGGTTGTCCACAATGTCCCAGACATGCCTTGAAGTTTTCCAGATATTTCTCATACTGTTATGATAACTATAGAATTAAAATTCTCCCTTGAGAATAAAAAATCATGATATAAAGCCCATTGCAAAATTTACTTGTGATGCAATCTACAATGGTAGATGTAGTCTGCTCCTGTGCCCTTCCATCCCAGCCCCCAAACCAGCCAGGGAGAAGGCAGGGTAGGGGTGTGGAAGCAAATCCCATCTGGCTTCTGGTTACTTTGTTGCCCTCTGATATGGTTTGGTTCTGTGTCCCCACCCAAATCTCATCTTGCATTATTGCTCCCATAATCCCCACGTGTCATCGGAGGGACCCAGTGAGAGATAATTGAATCATGGAGGCGGGTTTTCCCGTGCTGTTTTCATGATAGAAAATAAGTCTCAGCCAGGTGCGGTGGCTCACGTCTGTAATCCCAGCACTTTGGGAGGCTGAGACGGGCGGATCACCTGAGGTCAGGAGTTTGAGACCAGCCTGGCCAATCTGGTGAAACCCCGCCCCTAGTAAAAATATAAAAATTAGCTGGGCATGGTGGCGGGCACCTGTAATACCCCTACTCAGGAGGCGGAGGCAGGAGAAAGGAGAATCACTTGAACCCGGGAGGTGGAGGTTGCAGTGAGCCAAGAACACGCCATTGCACTCCAGCCTGGGTGACAAGAGCAAAACTCTGTCTCAAAAAAAAAAACGAAAGGAAAAAGAAAATAAGTCTCATGAGACCTTTTGGTTTTATAAAGGGCAGTTCCCCTGCGCACGCCCTCTTGCCTGCCTCCAAGTAAGACATGACTTGCTCTTCCTTTGCCTTCTACCATGATTGTGAGGCCTCCCCAGTCATGTGGAACTGTGAGTCCATTAAACCTACTTTTCTTTATAAATTACCCAGTCTTGGGTATTTCTTCATAGCAGTATGAAAATGGACTAGTATACCTTCAGATAATGGAAATTAAAAAAGCCCATTCAGCATCCTGTGAGTCTTCATTTGCTTTGGCTACACTGGTTATGCTTTTGGGAAAAGACAAATTCATTCATTCATTGAGCCAGTAAGCATTTATCAACCCTGTCCTAGCCATAGTGGTAGATATAAAGATTAAGATCCAGTCCTTGTTCTTTTTCAACTTGGATACACCAGCTAGATAGTAGCAGTTGCCAAAGGAAAGATGCTAACATATCAGAGAACTTCACAGGTTAAAAAAAATCACTTCTGGATTGGAGATGTAGGGAGTGGAGATAAATTATTGCCTATCTCTCTCCACTTGTATATAAGCTCCAGGAGGACAGGAATCTTTGCTTTGTTTAGTTGTATATTTCTAGCATGCAAAGCAGTGCCTGGCACATAGTAGAACTCAATACATATTTGTTGAATGAATAGGTGCTTGAATTTTAAAAATGTATATAAAAGAAACATAGGCCTGGGTTTATGACTATGAGCTCTAAGGCTGAGATGATGTCTATTTGTATTTTTACGGATTTGCATTATGTTCAGCATATTTTAGGCACTCAATAAATTCTGAATGAAAGTTGAGTAAGTGATTTCATAGCTGAGGTTTGTTTCCTTCTCACCCGTTTTCTTGGTGTCATTAAGTATTAACCTTCCTGAAGAAAATGTCCATGCCAAGCTGACAGTGATTTTAAAGGTAAGAGTCTTTAAGAAACCAAAAAAAAAAAAAAAAAAGGCAGTATGATAGAAAATGAAGGCAGTGTGACAGAAAATGAGATGAAAGGAAAAGGTCAGGAAAATAACATTTTAAAATTTAATTCACTACTGAAAGTATTTTTGAGAGCACTGATTTACCTTTACCTGGTAGTCAACTGAAACGGAAAACATGACTATAGGTGATGATGACGTTGAACCATCCCATTAGCAATATTTGTTTGATTTAATCCAAGAACCAAATATTGCTATACAGATGCCAAAGCTTAAAGTTATTGGAAATGTTTTATCCAATTCAGAATTAAATAAAAAAGTGAAAGGCCCAGATAATATTTCTGTTGCTGTTTTTTACCCCAGTGATATAAATTTAACTAGCTGAAATCATATTCTAAGTATCAGATATTTACACCGACTCTGAAGTGGCAACTACCTTTGCCTATTGAAATTACTTGGGGCTTGTTTAATGAGAAGATTATCCATTAAGAACCCCACCAGATACAGAATTAATTGCTGGGGAAAGCATCAAAAGCAAGAGAACATCATAGTCCTTGCTCTAAAGGAGCTTACCAGGTAAGCAGGTGAAACAAATATGAACAAAGCAAGAAGAAAAAGCAAAAAGCAAGAGAACATCATAGTCCTTGCCCTAAAGGAGCGTACCAGGTAAGCAGGTGAAACAAATATGAACAAAGCAAGAAAAAAAAAGCAAATAAATTATGAGTGTAGATTAATTTACAGCCCTTTGGTAGAGTCAGCTAGTTGCCCATTGAAACCTGAGCTTCCCTTCAACTTTAGGAACAGTTGTTCCTGGGACTACATTTCTCAGGTCATTTTGCACTTATGTGAGACCATGTGACTAGTTGGCCATGTGACCTCATTATGGTCAATGGAATGAGGGCAGGATAGATGTGGGCCACTTTGGGGCTTGGCCTATATATGCCTTAGCCTTTCTCCCCATGGGCTGATGTAAAGAAAACAATTATATGCATATAATAATACATTTATATCTAATTATATAAATATTTATGTATAATAGATATTTATATATAATACATTATTATATATCACATTATATAATATATAATGATATAAAATATATAATTTTAATTTTAAGTAAAATTATATAATAGACAAAATTATATATAATATGCTATATATTATACATTTTATATTAATTATAATTAATTGATTATATAATATGATTTTATTATATATTTATATAATTAATTATATTACATATTATATAATAGGTAGTTATATAATATATAATTATATATTATGTAATATATGTTACATATTCTATAATGGATAATTATATATACTGTAATATATGTAATATAAAAAGATATATACTGTAATATAGATAACATATATTATATATACACACATATATACATATTATATAAATATAATATTGTCTTGACCCAAGTTTTGAGGCCCTGGCTTAAGGCTGGTCAGTTCTGCTTCTTGATTTGCTGATTGAGTCCACAACCCCAATCACTCAACCAATTCCCGTTTTGGGCACTCATATGGGGCCACTGCCCTGGTTGCCCCAGGTACCAGAAAACTAGGGGTAACCACTATGCTCCACAGCCCCCTGAAATTACTCAAATTGCTCAAATCAGACAGTCCACAGGGAGTTCATAAAACCTAGCTAACCCCATTCCACTTGCTGTACATAAGCTGACCCAAACAGCCCTGGCACAATCTCTGTGTGGCCCTGTGTGGCAGTCTTTTCTTGTTTGGAGCTATAAGTAACAAAGAATTCTACCTTTCATCTATCCAAATGCCTTTGTGGTGTGTCCAGCCATCTTTAAATCTTACAAAACAGCTGAAATTGCAAACACCAGAAACTCTTGGAAACCATGTGTTGACTGGAACAAAGTTGCTTTCTGCCTGGGTTCCTGAATGACTGCTGTGCCCCAACTCCACTCATCCTCAACTTCCCCATTCGTGCCCCTCCCTTATCACCCTGGACTGTCCTATGAGAAAGAAACTTCTATTATATTGGAGTCATTACATGTTTTGCCTTATCTGTTATGGCAGTTTAACCCGCCCTAATTATCACAGGAAATCAACCAACTCGCAGCGAAGGATATAGTGTGGGCTGAGGAAACTTCCATGGAGGGACGGGGGGGCTCCTATTCCACCTCCTATGAGAAGGGGAAGCTCTGGAGGGGAGCTCAAGGTTGATCTTTAACAAAATGGCAAACGAGTTTAGCAGTTAACGTTATTGCACATCCCTCCCTTCCTCGTCCAAGGGAAAGCCTTCAGTCCAAGGACTCCTTATGAGACAGATCTTATTATTTCTATTTTTCATGGTATTCTCAAAGTTAACTCCATCTCATTAAGCACCAAGTTCATTCCCACTTTCTACCCTCTTTATCTTTTTTCTCGCATCTCGTGCATTTCAAATTAGTTCCTAATTACCCTAGTATTACATAATCTCCTCACCACCCGCCAAATAATAAAATAAAAGTCATAGCAATAAAACTAAAGTATTTTTGACCACCCCTCCCAAACAATTCAATCTGCTCATGCTAACCTGGATGTAACCCCACTGCTGTGAATCATTTCAGACTTTTTTCTTTTGTGTAATATAAATCCATAGAAAATCTATGGTATTGCCTTTCCATAAATTGTATCTTGCTGTACATTGTGTTCTACAATTTGCTTCTTTTGCTCAGCAACAATGTTTCACAGAGCTCTCCTGTTCTTAGGTGGAAATCTAATTTATTCCTAATGGCTACACAGTGTTCCTTAGTATGACTAGACCACAATTTATTTAGTCATTCCATCATTCAGCTTGTTTCCAATTTTCCATTGTTAGAAAAATATCTGCAGTGAATATCTTTGGACCTACTTTCCTGAGCACTTACTATGTGCTAGGTGCTCTTCAGGTGCTCCTAAGGAATAATGCCATTCCCCTCAATGGTCGTGTGAAGTAAGTACTGGCATCATCTCTGTTTAATAGACGAAATATCCAAGTGAATGCATCAGGGTTTCTTTAGGGGTAGATGCTGAACAGTGCAATTGCAGGATCACTTTCCCCTCTTTTTGTTGTTTTTTTTTTTTTGAGATGGAGTCTCGCTCTGTCGCCAGGCTGGAGTACAATGGCGAGATCTTGGCTCACTGCAACCTCCGCCTCCCGAGTTCAAGCAATTCTCCTGCCTCAGCTTCCCAGGTAGCTGGGACTACAGGCGCGTGCCGCCATGCCCAGCTAATTTTTGTATTTTTAGTAGAGTCGGGGTTTCACCATGTTGGCCAGGATGGTCTTGATCTCTTGACCTCATGATCCACCCACCTTGGCCTCCCAAAGTGCTGGGATTACAGGCATGAGCCCCTGCGCCCGGCCTCCCCTCCTTGCCAGTGGTGGCCTGTTCTAAAAGTGCCTGGGATTTGTTTTAATTAGGTATGTTAAGACACACAGACGTAGAAATGACTGTCATGAAGCTAAAAGTTTTTAAGAGTCAGAGATGCCTAGAGGCGGGGGCATGGCATGCCATGCAGGGCCACGTGGGGAAGCACCAGGTAGGTCTAGAGGCAGAAGGAGTGAGAGTGCGGTGGGGAACATGGACAAGAGCCTTTATTGTACTTTCATGGGAAGGAACAGGTGAGGCAGTGTAAACAGATTTAAGATGGGCCAGTTTGAATGGTTTCAGCAGACTCTGGGGCATAGGGGCTGTGCCTAGTTGTCTGGTACCTGGACCTGGGGTGGTAAGGGCAGGAGAATAGTGGCCCTGAGTGTGACAGCTCATAGAGGAGGGTGGGGGGGAGTGTAGTCTACCATTTCTTTTTTGTGTTTTGAGACGGAGTCTCACTCTGTTGCCCAGGATGGAGTACAGTGGCGCCATCTCGGCTCACTGCATGCTCCCTCTTCCGGGTTCACGCCATTCTCCTGCCTCAGCCTCCTGAGTAGCTGGGACTACAGGCGCCCGCCACCATGCCCGGCTAATTTTTTCTATTTTTTGGTAGAGATGGGGTTTCACTGTGTTAGCCAGGATGGTCTCGATCTCCTGACCTCGTAATTCGCCTGCCTTGGCCTCCCAAAGTGCTGGGATTACAGGCGTGAGCCACTGCGCCCGGCCGTGGTCTACTATTTCTAGGAATTGTCTAGTTCTGGGAAGCGCAGCCCCTTGAGGGTCACCAAGGTCCCAAATGTCAAAGCATCAAAATACAGAAAACAAAAGACATGGTCAATATACAGAAATTTACACTCGTACCAGCAGAATATTGGAACTCCCTTTTCCCTGCATTATCACCAAACACCTGGTATTATCAAACTTACAGTATTTGTAATCCATCTGATGTGTGAAAACAGTGTCTCTTAATTGGTATTCCCCAATTAATTAATGATGTTGAGCATCTTTCATGTATCTGTGGGCCAATGGTCAATAGTCCCTTTCTGGTTCACCTCTCCATTTTCTTCCCACCCCTCCATGGTCTTCTCCCTTGGTCTGCAGACACAAGCTACACTTTTCTGCATGGCTTTCTAAGCCCTTCTTGATATGGTCCGAGTGCTTCTCAGAAGTTTTATCTCTTGGCATTTTCCAACTTGCATTCTAAATTCTAACCTTGGTCTCTGTCCCCATCCTTCCCTCCTGACCTTTGCACAAGCTGTTCCTTCTGCCTAGAAAACTCACTGTATGTCCTTTCCCCTTTATTTCTGACACACACACACACACACACACACACACACACACACCCTCTACTCATATGACATATGAGGTCACCTCCAGGACCCCTTTCCTGCCACCTTCTCTTATGTACTTTCCAATCACAGCAATTACCCCATGATTGTGTAATTGCAGGTTTGTCTTTCAACTCTCCCCATAGATTGTAAACTTGTTAAAGAAAAGGATTATGTTTTTGTTTTTGTATCCTCCATACCTGACACAATGATGGAAATATACTTGGTACACAGTAGCGCACTTCGAATGGAAGGAAGAATGGATGGGAGTGTGACTGAATGAGCTTATTTATCCTGTTCCACACTCTAGCCCCTGAAGCTTGTCTCCAAGGCTGAGGCAATGGGTGAATCAGATACTGTGAAAATTCTAGATTTGCACCCAAACAGCATTTGGTACAATGCTAGCCTCATGTTCTGGTATGTTCTGGGCTCATTAAAGGGTTTGTGGTTGATTATGTGTATTCCTGGGTGTGCAGGATTGAGGAAAGCCAGAAGAGAAGAACAACTGGCTCCAGTTTGGTTTTCAATGTCAGGAAGAGATTGGTGCGAATGATTTATTTTCCTTTGAATATTAATTAAGGAAAATAAGTCACCATCTATCTCTATCTTCACATGGAAGGTGCCATAGACTGCCAGTTTCCCATGTCCCCTCCAATCCATTCTCTTCTTTCTGGTCACCAGGCTGTCCAATAAAGACTACATTTCCCAGCTTCCCTTGCAGCTAGGTATGGCCATGTGACTAGGTTCTCAGTAATGATATGTGAGAGAGCTAATTTGTGTAACTTCTTCCTCATTTGCCTGAAAGAAAATTGTTGCCTTAGACTTTTCTTTTCTTTCTCCCCGTACTGCCCCCTAACGGCTTTCCTTTGGGCTAGACCCCAGAAATGCCAATGATCCAGCTTCAGTGATGCAAATGAAGACCTCAGGGATCAACAGAGCAATGAGAGAAGGAACCTAGGTCCCTGAATGACTCTGGAGCAGAGATGCCCCAGACATCTTACCATGCCCCTTACCTCGAATGGTAAGAAATTTACATATATGAGAAATAAACTTCTATTTAAGTTACTATATATTTGGAACACTTTGTTACAACAACTTAGCCCATACTGTAACCTACATTTTTCCTCTACCTCTTCCCAAATTTATTATTCTGCCTAGTGCTTAACATCATCTAACACAAAAAATGTTTTCCTTCTTTTCTTCTCATCTGTCTTCCTTAATTAGAATAGTTCCTGAAAGGCAGGGGTTTTTCAGTTAGCAATAATCACCTCAGATAAACTTCACTGGCTATAATACTGCTACTGCACAAAGCTGAAGGCAAGGGTTTTTGTCTTTGTTCACTGTTGCATTCCCAGCATCTAGAAGAGTGTCCAGTTCATAGTAAGTGCTCAACAAATATATAGAGAGTGAACTATTATTGGCCACCAAAAGTGAAATCATAATGTATGCCACGAGGAAAGAAGAGTGAAAACAGTGGGGAACTTCATGCATGGAGGGTAGAGAGAAGGTGTGTAATCAGAGGAGGGGCACAGTCTCTAAGAAAAAAAGCCCCTGGTGCTCTCCTGTGTTTGGGAGGAGGACTCTGAGGCTTTGCTTTATTTCCTGTCCCCATTGGTATTGGTTCTGGAGTTGAGACAGGAAGAGAGATAAAGTCAGGTTTCCATACCTGCTCCCACTTAATAGGAAGTAAACCATATTCTCTTCTACATTCCATCTACCCTCATTTTCCTTCCTCTTCTTGAGAAAAACATATAACAAAATAAATTCAAGATGACTTATTTTGTAAACTCCCTTAGGTAGAAGGTATTCATAGAAATAGCTGTGGAATGGCAGAAAAACCATTAGGAAGAAGTTGAACTGCCTTAACTTCAAGTCTGAGGCTTTCATTAGCTGGGTGGTCTCCAAAAACTGGACTGACCTCTTTGGCCTTCACCATCCTCACCCATGATGAGTATGTTTTTGTTTTATATTTTACACTTTAAAAAATATACCATATTTTTGTTGTGGGATGTTACAGGCTCAATTGTGTCCCCCCCAAAAATTTATAGGTTGAAGCCCTAACCCCCAGTACTTCAGAACAAGAACGTATTTGGAGACAGGGTCTTTAAAAGGGCAATGAAGTTAGAATGGGGTTGTTAGGGTGTTCCTTAATCGAATATGACTGGTGTCTTTAAAAAAAGAGGAGATGAGGACGCAGACACAACAGAGGAAAGACCATGTGATCACACAGAGAAGATGGTAGTCTACAAGCAATGTACAGGGACCTCAGAAGGAACCAACCCTGCTGGCACCTTGATCTTGGACCTCTAGCCTCCAGGACTGTGAGAAAATAAATGTCTGTTGTTTATGCCACCCAATCTGTGGTATTTTGTTTTGGCAGCCCTACAAAAATAATACATGGGATAATGTAGAAAAAGATTAATAATAATAACATATGTAATAATAATAACCAAAATGGCCAAATAGGAACAGCTCTGGTCTACAGCTCCCAGTGTGAGCGACGCAGAAGATGGGTGATTTCTGCATTTCCATCTGAGGTACCGGGTTCCTCTCACTAGGGAGTGCCAGACAGTGGGCGCAGGTTAGTGGGTGCACGCACCATGCGTGAGCCAAAGCAGGGTGAGGCATTGCCTCACTAGGGAAGCACAAGGGGTCAGGGAGTTCCCTTTCCTAGTCAAAGAAAGGGGTGACAGATGGCACCTGGAAAATCAGGTCACTCCCACCCGAATACTGCGCTTTTCCGACGGGCTTAAAAAATGGTGCACCAGGAGATTATATCCCGCACATGGCTCAGAGGGTCCTACGCCCACGGAGTCTCGCTGATTGCTAGCACAGCAGTCTGAGATCAAACTGCAAGGCGGCAGCGAGGCTGACGGAGGGGTGCCCGCCATTGCCCAGGCTTGCTTAGGTAAACAAAGCAGCCTGGAAGTTCGAACTGGGTGGAGCCCACCACAGCTCAAGGAGGCCTGCCTGCCTCTGTAGGCTCCACCTCTGGGGGCAGGGCACAGACAAACAAAAAGACAGCAGTAACCTCTGCAGACTTAATGTCCCTGTCTGACAGCTTTGAAGCGAGCAGTGGTTCTCCCAGCATGCAGCTGGAGATCTGAGAATGGGCAGACTGCCTCCTCAAGTGGGTCCCTGACCCCTGACCCCTGAGCAGCCTAACTGGGAGGCACCCCCCAGTAGGGGCAGACTGACACCTCACTGGGCCGGGTACTCCTCTGAGACAAAACTTCCAGAGGAACGATCAGACAGCAGCATTTGTGGTTCACGATAAACTGCTGTTCTGCAAACACCGCTGCGGATAGCCAGGCAAACAGGGTCTGGAGTGGACCTCTAGCAAACTCCAACAGACTTGCAGCAGAGCGTCCTG